>NC_000002.12:32868130-32916625 GCF_000001405.40 Homo sapiens
TCACTACAACCTCCACCTCCCAGCCGCCTGCCTTGGCCTCCCAAAGTGCCGAGATTGCAGCCTCTGCCCGGCCGCCACCCCGTCTGGGAAGTGAGGAGTGTCTCTGCCTGGCCGCCCATCGTCTGGGATGTGAGGAGCCCCTCTGCCCGGCCGCCCAGTCTGGGAAGTGAGGAGCGTCTCCGCCCGGCCGCCATCCCATCTAGGAAGTGAGGAGCGCCTCTTCCCAGCCGCCATCACATCTAGGAAGTGAGGAGCGTCTCTGCCCGGCCGCCCATCGTCTGAGATGTGGGGAGCGCCTCTGCCCCACCGCCCCATCTGGGATGTGAGGAGCGCCTCTGCCCGGCCGAGACCCCGTCTGGGAGGTGAGGAGCGTCTCTGCCCGGCCGCCCCGTCTGAGAAGTGAGGAGACCCTCTGCCTGGCAACCACCCCGTCTGAGAAGTGAGGAGCCCCTCCGCCCGGCAGCTGCCCCGTCTGAGAAGTGAGGAGCCTCTCCGCCCAGCAGCCACCCCATCTGGGAAGTGAGGAGCATCTCCGCCCGGCAGCCACCCCATCCGGGAGGGAGGTGAGGGGGGGTCAGCCCCCCGCCCGGCCAGCTGCCCCATCCGGGAGGGAGGTGGGGGGTCAGCCCCCCGCCCGGCCAGCCGTGCCATCCGGGAGGGAGGTGGGGGGGTCAGCCCCCTGCCCGGCCAGCCGCCCGGTCCGGGAGGTGAGGGGCGCCTCTGCCCGGCCGCCCCTACTGGGAAGTGAGGAGCCCCTCTGCCCGGCCAGCCGCCCCGTCCGGGAGGGAGGTGGGGGGGTCAGCCCTCCGCCCGGCCAGCCGCCCCGTCTGGGAGGTGAGGGGCGCCTCTGCCCGGCCGCCCCTACTGGGAAGTGAGGAGCCCCTCTGCCCGGCCAGCCGCCCCGTCCGGGAGGGAGGTGGGGGGGTCGGCCCCCCGCCCGGCCAGCCGCCCCGTCCGGGAGGGAGGTGGGGGTGTCGGCCCCCCGCCCGGCCAGCCGCCCCGTCCGGGAGGGAGGTGGGGGGGGTCAGCCCCCCTGCCCGGCCAGCCGCCCCGTCCGGGAGGTGAGGGGCGCCTCTGCCCGGCCACCCCTACTGGGAAGTGAGGAGCCCCTCTGCCCGGCCAGCCGCCCCGTCCGCGAGGGAGGTGGGGGGGTCAGCCCCCCGCCCGGCCAGCCGCCCCGTCCGGGAGGGAGGTGGGGGGGGTCAGCCCCCCTGCCCGGCCAGCCGCCCCGTCCGGGAGGGAGGTGGGGGGGGTCAGCCCCCCTGCCCGGCCAGCCGCCCCGTCCGGGAGGTGAGGGGCGCCTCTGCCCGGCCGCCCCTACTGGGAAGTGAGGAGCCCCTCTGCCCGGCCAGCTGCCCCGTCCGCGAGGGAGGTGGGGGGGTCAGCCCCCCGCCCGGCCAGCCGCCCCGTCCGGGAGGGAGGTGGGGGGGGTCAGCCCCCCTGCCCGGCCAGCCGCCCCGTCCGGGAGGTGAGGGGCGCCTCTGCCCGGCCGCCCCTACTGGGAAGTGAGGAGCCCCTCTGCCCGGCCAGCCGCCCCGTCCGCGAGGGAGGTGGGGGGGTCAGCCCCCCGCCCGGCCAGCCGCCCCGTCCGGGAGGGAGGTGGGGGGGGTCAGCCCCCCTGCCCGGCCAGCCGCCCCGTCCGGGAGGTGAGGGGCGCCTCTGCCCGGCCGCCCCTACTGGGAAGTGAGGAGCCCCTCTGCCTGGCCAGCCGCCCCGTCCGGGAGGGAGGTGGGGGGTCAGCCCCCCGACCGGCCAGCCGCCCCGTCCGGGAGGGAGGTGGGGGGGTCAGCCCCCCGCCCGGCCAGCCGCCCCGCCCAGGAAGTGAGGGGCGCTTCTGCCCGGCCGCCCCTACTGGGAAGTGAGGAGCCCCTCTGCCCGGCCACCACCCCGTCTGGGAGGTGTGCCCAACAGCTCATTGAGAACGGGCCAGGATGACAATGGCGGCTTTGTGGAATAGAAAGGCGGGAAAGGTGGGGAAAAGATTGAGAAATCGGATGGTTGCCGTGTCTGTGTAGAAAGAAGTAGACATGGGAGACTTTTCATTTTGTTCTGCACTAAGAAAAATTCCTCTGCCTTGGGATCCTGTTGATCTGTGACCTTACCCCCAACCCTGTGCTCTCTGAAACATGTGCTGTGTCCACTCAGGGTTAAATGGATTAAGGGCGGTGCAAGATGTGCTTTGTTAAACAGATGCTTGAAGGCAGCATGCTCGTTAAGAGTCATCACCAATCCCTAATCTCAAGTAATCAGGGACACAAACACTGCGGAAGGCCGCAGGGTCCTCTGCCTAGGAAAACCAGAGACCTTTGTTCACTTGTTTATCTGCTGACCTTCCCTCCACTATTGTCCCATGACCCTGCCAAATCCCCCTCTGTGAGAAACACCCAAGAATTATCAATAAAAAAATAAATTAAAAAAAAAAAAAAAAATATTCCATGCTCATGGATAGGAAGAATCAATATTGTTAAAATGGCCATACTGCCCAAAGCAATCTACACATTCAACACTATTCCTATCAAACTACCAATGTCACTTTTCACAGAATTAGAAAAAAACTACCACAAAATTCATATGGAACCAAAAAAGAACCTAAATAGCCAAGATAATCCTAAGCAAAAAGAACAACGACAGAGGTATGACATTACCTGACTTCAAACTATGCTATCAGACTACAAGAACCAAAAGAGCATGGTACTTGTACGAAAACAGACACATAGACCAATGGAACAGATTAGAGAGCCCAGAAATAAAGCTGCACACCTATAACCATCTGATCTTTGACAAAGTTGACAAAAATAAGCAATGGGAAAAGGACTCCCTATGTAACAAATGATGTTGGGATAACTAGCTAGCCATATGCAGAAGAATGAAACTGAACCCCAACTTTTCACCATACATAAAAATTAACTTAAAATGGATTGATGATGTAAATGTAAGACCTCAAACTATAAAAACTTTAGAAGAAAACCCAGGAAATGCCATTCTGGACATTGGCCTTGGCGAAGAATTTATGATTAAGTCCTCAACAACAATTGCAACAGAAACAAAAATTGATAAGAGGAACCTAATTAGATGAAAGAGGTTTTGTGCAGCCAAAGGAGCCATCAACAGCATAAACAGACAACCCACAGAATTGGAGAAAATATTTGCCAACTATGCATCCAACAAAGGTCTAATATCCAGAATTTATAAGGAACTTAAAGCAAAAAACAACCCCATTAAATAGTGGGCAAAGGACATGAACAGACACTTCTCAAAAGAAGACAGACAAGTGGACAACAAACATAAAAAAGTTCATCACTAATCATTAGAGAAATGCAAATCAAAACCACAATGAGATACCATCTCACACCATCAAAATGGCTATTATTAAAAAGACAAAAAACAGGGCCAGGTGTGGTGGCTCATGCCTGTAATGCCAGCACTTTGGGAGGCCGAGGTGGGTGAATCACCTGAGGTCAGGAGTTCAAGACCAGTCTGGCCAACATGGTGAAACCCTGTCTCTACTAAAAATACAAAAATTAGCCTGGCATGGTGGTACACGCCTGTAATTCCAGCTACTAAGGAGACTGAGGCAGGAGAATCGCTTGAACCAAGGAGGCGGAGGTTGTAGTGAGCTGAGATTGCGTCACTGCACTCCAGCCTGGGTGACGAGTGAAACTCCATCTCAAAAAAAAAAAAAAAATTAAAAATTAAAAAAATAGACAAAAAATAACAGATGCTGACAAGGCTGCTAGGGGAAGAAAATGCTTATACACTGTTGGTGGGAATGTAAATTAGTTCAGGCACCGTGGAAAGCAGTTTGGAGATTTCTCAAAGAACTAAAAACAGAACTACCATTCAACCCTGCAATCCCATTACTGGGCATATATCCAAAGGAAAATAAATCATTCCACAAAAAAGACACATATATGTTAATCACAGCACTATTCACAGTAGCAAAGACATGGAATCAATCTATGTGCCCATCAACAGTGGGTGGATAAAGAAAATGTGGTACCTGTATACCATGGAATACTACATAGCCAGAAAAAAAGAATGAAATCATGTCCTTTGCAGCAACATAGATGAATCTGGACACCATCATCCTGAGTGAATTAATGCAGGAATAGACAATCAAATTCTGCATGTTCCCACTTGTAAGTGGGAGCCAAATATTGGGTACATATGGACATAAAGATGGGAAAAATAGACACTGGAGACTTTTAGAGGGGAGAGATGGGGAGGGGACAAGGGCTAAAGAACTATCGGGTACTACACTCACTACATGGGTGACAGGAGAATTTGTGCCCCAGACCTCAGTGTCACACAGTATATCCATGTAACAAACCTTCACATGTAACCCTTAATCTACAATAAAAGTTGAAATTATTATTAGTATTATTATTTTTTGAGACAGAGTCTTGCTCTGTTGCCCAGGCTGGAGTGCGATGGCGCCATCTCGGCTCACTGCAGCCTCCGCCTCCCAGGTTCAAGTGCGTCTCCTGCCTCAGCCTCCCAAGTAGCTGGGACTACAGGCGCTCGCCACCACGCCCAGCTAATTTTTGTATTTTTAGTAGAGACAGGGTTTCACTATGTTGGCCAGGCTGGTCTTGAACTCCTGACCTCAGGTGATCCTCCTGCCTCTGCCTCCCAGAGTGCTAGGATTACAGGCATGAGCCACCATGCCTGGCCAAAATTATTTTTTAAAAAGAAAATGGCATATATTTGTGTTCATTAAAGCAAATTTGAAAACTTATGTTACCTGAAAATTTAAAAATTTAAAATAATAACTCGATATATTTTACATATTTTAATTTCTTGGTCTATCTGTCATGGTATTTTTCTGCAGAGTGTATTTTTTAGTAGTTTTACTATTTCTAACTTTTTTTCATAAAATTATCTGTATTTGGGGCTTAAAAACTTTGAAATGAATACTTGCAATTGATTCTTCCTTATATATAAAACCACAATATATTTAATTGAAAAAATTTCTCTGTAGAAGTGATGGTGCCTTGTAAGTTGAAAACTATTCTGCTAAGTAAAGACCATTCTCAATTCTAATTTTTAAAAATATTAAATGTGTGACCAAGCACGGTGGCTCACGCCTATAATCCCAGCACCTTGGGAGGCCAAGGCGGGCGGATCACGAGGTCAGGAGATTGAGACCATCCTGGCTAACATGGTGAAACCCTGTCTCTACTACAAATACAAAAAAATTAGCTGGGCGTGGTGGCGGGCGCCTGTAGTCCCAGCTACTCAGGAGGCTGAGGCAGGAGAATGGCATGAACCTGGAAGGCGGAGTTTGCAGTGAGCTGAGATAGCGCCACTGCACTCCAGCCTGGGCGACAGAGCAAGACTCCGTCTCAAAAAAAAAAAAACAAACAAACAAACAAACAAACAAACAAAAAAAATTAAATGTGTGACGAATCTAGCTTAAATATTCTCTTAGGTACTTTTGACCTCTATTCAGAGAGCCTTTCATTGATACAACTTGTCAAATAGGTTGTCTCTATTTACGATTCTTTTGAATGGTTCACCAAATTTAGGTAGTTCAAAATTGTAAACCTTCTCAATTACATTCTATTCTGGGACAGAATCTAAATCCAAATAAAAATAGAGGCTCCATCAAAATATTCTTCTCACAAGTTGAGATAGTCCAGTGCACAATTATAGCATTTCCAAATTTGTACTTTATTAGAGCTGTCATTAACCCCCCTCCCCTGCTAGCTTTGAGGGACACATTCCAGTGTCTTCCTTTGCAGAGCTAGCTTGATGGGCTTATGAACCGCGCAGTCACATGGAACCCAGTGCTTAGAAGGACCCCGCAATGGGTTTCATGTTCTGCTGCCACCATCTTGAAATTCTTAATTTTATTTATTTAGGGGACAGAGTATCTCTCTGTCGCCCAGGCTGGAGTACAGTGGCGTGATCTCAGCTCACTGCAACCTCTGCCTCCCAGGTACAGGTGATTCTCCTGCCTCAGCCTCCCAAGTAGCTGAGACTACAGGTGCCTACCACAACACCTGGCTAATTTTTGTATTTTTAGTAGAGACGGAGTTTCACCATGTTGGCCAGGCTGGTCTCAAACTCCTCACCTCAACTGATCCACCCTCCTCGGCCTCCCAAAGGGCTGGGATTACAGATGTGAGCCACCACACCAGCCAATTCTTAATTTTTGACCAAGGGATCCTACAATTGCAATTTTACTCTAGGTCCTGCCAATTATGTAGCTGATTCTGCCTATTTGTCAATTTGGTTTTCAGTAATTGTAATTCTCTAAAACTTTCAAGCTCAAAAGCTGAAGGTTTAAAAAGAACCCATTTGCTCAATACATTAATTCCCGTTTAGAAAAAAAAAAAGTGCAGCTTGCTGCCAGTGCTCATTTAATTTTACATAAACACACTCTTTGAGGCTAAAGCAAATCTGACTGATTTTCAATGTGAAAATAAAATATAAAAACTGGTTCTTGGAGTTACTTCTAAACAGAACTAACATCAGAATTGCCTATCTCGGAAAAATCAGATTCATCAAATGACTCTTTGGCCAATAACTGTTTGAGAACAATGTTAACATCAGGCATAGGAGTGCTACATTTTCTAAGATTTGACATTTTCAGTGATCGAGAATTACATTTTGTAAATGGAAATACCACTACTAAAATTGGATACTGTAAATAAAATGATATCTTTTGTTTCCAAAGTTGATATACTCGAGCAGCGCGAAAGTAATAATAAAAGCAAGATATTTCGTGGCAAAGTTATCTCAGGGTAAACGCTGCAGCTGCAAGCGCTGCCGGCAAGTATTCTCGGGGCAAACGGGGAAAGGGTTAAAAACTTCCAAATTATTTTGAACAAAATGCAACCAAAATTCGGAGCATTGTAGAACATTTAGGATGATTTTTATAAAGTAGTTTATCATAAAGGCTTTGCTGTTTCTAAGTCAATGGGTAGGCAGCAGGGAGAATTTTGTGATCCGTGTGTGTGTGTATAAAAATTTGACAATTCAGCTTTCATTTCCATTGGCAGGCCACTACAGCTTGTTTGTACAATGTGCTAATTATACACATTCCACTGCAGTCCAAGTACATTTCTGCTCCACAGGCTCTTGATTTAGTAAGAATACTGTTTCCCCCAGGATTCTGGCCACTAAAACTTATTACCTCAACAGCAAACTTTCTCTTCAGTGATGAAACTTTGAAACTGGATTTATGATAGCGGTCAAAATGATGACAGATTTTTTTACCCAAAGGTAAAAACAGAATGAACTTTCCAACATTTTAATTTTATTTAATACGTTCATTTTTTAAAAGAACTATTATTACAATGGACTGATTTCTCATTGGAAGCAGCTGATGACCCTGATATAAACTGGTGTCAAACCTGTTAGCATGGCTATAATTAAAAAGTTGAGATAATGTGTGTTGGTGAGGGTGTGGAGGAAAGGGAACCCTTGTACACTGTTGGTGGGAATATAAATTAGTACAGTCATTACTGAAAACAGCATGGAGGTTCTGCAAAAAATTAAAAATAGGACTATCATATGGCCCAGCAATCCCTCTGCCAGGTATTTATCCAAAGAGATGAAGTCAGGCCGGGTGCAATGGCTCACGCCTTTAATCCCAGCACTTTGGGAGGCCGAGGCGGGCAGATCACTGGAGGTCAGAAGTTCAAGACCAGCCTGGCCAATATGGTGAAACCCCCGTCTACTAAAAATACAAAAATTAGCCAGGTGTGGTGGTGTACGCCTGTAATTCCAGCTACTTAGGAGGCTGAGGCAGGAGAATCGCTTGAACCAAGGAGACGGAGGTTGCAGTGAGCTGAGATTGTGTCACTGGACTCCAGCCTGGGTGACAGAGTAAAATTCCGTCTCAAAAAAAAAAAAAAAAAAGAAAAAAAGAAAACAAACCAACAAAACACACAAATAACCAAAGAAATGAAGTCAACACCTCATCGAGATATCTGCGCTCCCTTGTTCATTGCAGCATTATTCACAATAGCCAAGATATGGAATCAACCCAAATGTCTATCCAATGGAGGAATGGATAAAGAAACTGTGGTATCTGTATCTCTCTATATAGATCAATACAATGCAATATTATTCGACTTTAAAAAAGAAGATCTTTCCACTGATGACAGCATGGATGCTAAGTGAAATAAGGCAGACACAGAAAGAAAAATGTGCATGATCTCTTTTATACATGGAATATTTTTTAAAAGTTGACTACATAGAAACAGTAGATTGACAGTTACTAGAGGTGAAGTGGGTGCAGGGGGTGCAGAATGGAGAGCTGTAGATCAAAGGGCACAGAGTTGCAGTTATGTGTTAATAGGATGAATAAATCTAGAGAGTGGAAGTACATCATAATGATTGTAGCTAATAATATTGTACTACATACTGGAAATTTTCTATGAGTAGATTTTACATGCTCTTACCACAGACACAAAGAAGGATAACTGTGAGATGACAGATACATTAATTGACTTGACTGTAGTAATCACTTCATATATCACTTCAAAACATTATGTTACATATTTATAACATAAATATATTCAATCAAATTGAAATAAAACTGGTGTCATGTCACTGTTTACACAGTACTCATTCTGCTAAAGGAGACTCATTTGCAGCTAATACTTAATGTTTCAGGCATGCACCAGAAAATTGGGAGTGGAAAATGAATGAAATTATTTTAGAACAGTTATTGCATCTATGTGAAAAATTAAGCTTCGCAGAATAATATAAAAACACACCTCATGCAGCTGTGTGTGTTATAATAATCTTTGGGCATGATCTACTTAAGGTAACTACTGACTTTTGAAGTAAATTCTGATGCTTCTTCAGAAAATTCGCGTTTTCTGGTTTTCAGGTGACCAGTGTTATCATTATGACATCCCAGCAGTGGATGCTAGATATCAACAAATATTTTTTGCAAGTTACACATTCATCTACAACCTAATATTTTAATTTTTCACTAAAAATGTGCTTTGACCTTTTCAAGCTGATTGATTGCTGCCAAGGGGTTTATTGCAAAAGAAATGTATGTTACCAAACAATGCAATAAATAAAGGTTGTAGATAAATTATAAAGTAAGTGACAAAACCACTGTACACAAGAACATTCAAACTACGGTTTCTGTGCTCTGTGATGGGCTACTCAGCCTCCCTTTCCTGCACATATTTCACTTCACCTAAACTATACTTTCGCACATTTCCCACTGACCCTGCTGACATGTGGCCAGGCAGCTTCATGGACCTCCCAGGCTACAGCAGGCACTAGTGAAAGGTGGCTGGCAGCAGGGTCAGTACATCTCCCAACGCCACTGAGTCCCTGGAAACTTGTAACTGGACACACTGTAATTTGTCCAGCTGTCTTTCAGAGACCGTGTTAATTGCACCTTATCAGGGAATGGTTGAGAAAAGAGAGAAGGGTATTATAGCTGGTCTTCCTTAGATTTTTATCAGGAGTTACAGTGAGAACTCAGTTTATTGCACAGGTCTCATCACTATTGTTCAAGACTGCTGGCAACTGAGAATGCCAAGGAGAGGGCTACTAAACCCATCCCAGCTTGTCGAATTCCACTGTTTTAATGTTTTTCTAACAATGAAGTGCCCGATAGACGTCAACTGCCTGGGATTGTCTTGAGAAAACCTGGATGTACAGTCACCCCAATTGTGATCCATTGCTCTGCTTATCCTACAACTTCCTGATGAAACATCATCTTGCACTGATTTTA
Organism: Homo sapiens; assembly: GCF_000001405.40. Classification (NCBI taxonomy): domain Eukaryota; kingdom Metazoa; phylum Chordata; class Mammalia; order Primates; family Hominidae; genus Homo; species Homo sapiens. The sequence continues at coordinate 32,877,846 of NC_000002.12, forward strand.
CACACAACCTCTATGTACTAAAAATGACCTTTCATTTAAATGTAAAGGAAAGGGTGAGGCTGCAGTTAAAAATGAGACAATGTGAAGCTAAAAGACAGATGGCAACTCAGTGGGCGCGTTCAGATATCCCAGCTAACCTCTCCTGGAAGCCAAATCCCAGGGACAATTTCTGGTCATTTTCTTGCTGGAGCTATTTTCAGTTACAGCAGGCTGAATTCTCCAGGGGAAGAGGAAAACTGGGTAATTTGTCTTACTTTTCCTTCCTAAGTCCAGGGCCTACACAAGTTTGGGCCTACAGCACTGAAATCCCCTTTGAACTGTGCCCCGAGTGAAGTGTCAGGAAACCGCTGCTTTTTTCTGGTGGGGGAAAGGGTGTTGTAGGTCCAAAGTTGTATTGGAGACCAGCTGTATACAAGTCGTGTAAACTTTATTGTCTGAGGACTTCATCACCTGTATAAAGGCCCTCACAGTACGGACTGCCAACACATCTGGGTCAGAACAGCTGGGAACAATTTTTAGTTGGAAAAATAACTTACGTGGAAAAGGAGCATAAACTTTCATCATATATTGGCTGGTTGTAAACTAAGGCCATGGCAAGAAAAAATGCGGATGGCTTGTTTTTCTATTTGGTTAGAGTCAGCTATTTCTGGGGCACATACGGCACACAGTTCTTAGGTGACAGGACCCTGTCATAAAATGAACTGGTCACCTTATTAGCTTTTCTGAGTCCTTCACTAGTGGATTTTGGAAAACAGATGCTAAATGTTTAACAAAATCCACATACAGTTTATTAAGGCTTTTCCACAGTTACCCAATCTACACAATATGCCAGTAGGAAAAAGCATTTCAAAGTAAACAAGGATGAATTAACACAGATTAAAATTGTATATCTTAATATCAAATAATGCCATGTGGACTTAGGAGACCAGATGACTGACTGGAGATGGCCAGACAGGAGAAGATAGCAGAGAGGGTCCTGTCCAGAGGCAGAGGAAAACCATATTGTAAATTTGGAATCACTGACTGTTTTAATCATCAGATAGCTTGCTCTTTTCCTGGTGGAGAAAGCAAAAAGCATGAGGCAGCCTCAATCCACAGAGTGTCTGAGAAATAGAACTACCCATGGTACTTGGAAACTTGACCTTGTCAACTCCGAAAGTGCTGTTTGCCCAAAAGCCATATAAATGGTTAGTTTTTTTAAAACTTCACTTGACCTACTATTCAACTATTCTTTAGATATTTTAATGTTTCTAATCTAAAGAATTTTTTATTGTGGTAAAATATACATAACATTTACCATTTTTGCCACTTTTAACTGTACAACTCACTGGCATTAAGCACTTTCATGGTATTGTTTAACCATCACCATTATCTATTTCCATAACTCGATTTCTGATTTTTCGAGCTTCTCCAAGATACAATATGTATGCCCAAAGAGAGAAAGATGCACGATTTTGCTGGGATCAATAAGCAATTGTTGGTTTGCATTCTTCTGGCTAGGCATGTAGACTATTACAGAGACCAGCTCTTGTTAGGAATGCCTGTATCTGTCAACATATTGTACTTTACCCTCTTTTGAACTTTGCTTTTATTCTAGGATGATTGTAAACCAGAGAAAAGCAACAGAAATCTATAAATGCCCTAAAACATTTCAACAGGACTATATGACTGGCATGGGAGCTGTGGGGACTTTATTATGTTCATATTTGGAAAAAGTCGTTTAAGCCCTGCAATGATTAGATGTGACTGTGTGGGTTAATTATGTAGGAGAAGAGATAGTTTCGTTTTAAATTTCTGCAATTCAAACTGTGTATAAATATCATTTAAAATGAAGATCCAAATCATCCTGGAGAAAAACTCACTGGCCATCAGAGAAATGCAAATCAAAACAAAAATGAGATACCATCTCACACCAGTTAGAATGGCAATCATTAAAAAGTCAGGAAACAACAGGTGCTAGAGAGGAAGTGGAGAAATAGGAACACTTTTACACAGTTGTGGGAGTGTAAACTAGTTCAACCATTGTGGAAGACAGTGTGGCGATTCCTCAAGGATCTAGAACTAGAAATACCATTTGACCCAACCATCCCATTACTGGGTATATACCCAAAGGATTATAAATCATGCTGCTATAAAGACACATGCACACGTATGTTAATTGCGGCACTATTCACAATAGCAAAGACTTGGAACCAACCCAAATGTCCGTCAATGATAGACTGGATTAAGAAAATGTGGCACATATACACCATGGAATACTATGCAGCCATAAAAAAGGATGAGCTCATGTCCTTTGTAGGGACACGGATGAAGCCGGAAACCATCATTCTGAGCAAACTATCGCAAGGACAGGAAATCAAACACCGCATGTTCTCACTCAAAGGTGGGAATTGAACAATGAGAACACTTGGACACAGGATGGGGAACATCACACACCAGGGCCTGTCATGGGGTGGGGGAGGGGGGAGGGGTAGCATTAGGAGAAATGCCTAATGTAAATGACAAGTTTATGGGTGCAGCACACCAACATGGCACATGTATACATATGTAACAAACCTGCACGTTGTGCCCATGTACCCTAGAACTTAAAGTATAAAAAAAAATGTGGTAAAGCTTTAGGCTGTTCCAGTTACCATTGCAAACATGAAAGAACTCATAGTGGAGAAAAACTACAAATGTAAGCAATATGGGAAAATATTTAATTTTCCCAGTTTTCCTCAAAGATATGAAAGCAATCAAACTGGAGAAAGAAAACCTATAACTGTAAGAAACATGATTTGAAAAAGTGAAAGGACTCACACTGAAGAAAAGCCTTACGGTATAAGAAATGTGGTCAGGCATTTAGTTCTTTTGTTTGTTTGATTTTGTTTTTTTGAAACGGAGTCTCGCTCTCTCACCCAGGCTGGAGTACAGTGGCACAATCTCAGCTCACTGCAACCCCTGCTTCCCGGGTTCAAGCAATTCTCCTGTCTCAGCCTCCCAAGTAGCTGGGACTACAGGCACATATCACCATGCCTGGATAATTTTTATATTTTTATTAGAGATGGAGTTTCACCACATTGGTCAGGCTGGTCTCAAACTCCTGACCTCAGATAATCTACCCGTCTCAGCCTCCCAAAGTGCTGGGATTACAGGCATGAGCCACCACGCCTGGCCCATTTAGTTCTTTTAGTTGCATTTGCTGACTTAAAATATCTCATTCTGGAGAGAAGCTCTGTGAATGTATGAGATGTGGGAATGCCTTTGCTTTTCCCATATCCTTTCATAGACGCGTGATCATGCACACAAGATGGACCCTATAAACAGGAGAATCACACCTGACTGGATCCCGAGTAGTGTGGAAAATACAGAAAAGTTCTCAATTTTAACAATTACTTTCAAAGTCATGTGAAAACTCGTACTGGAAGGAAATATTGTAAATAATATTGAAAGCCTGTTGCAAATTCATTATTGTATAATGCTTGAAAAAAATTTACAACATGAAAGAAATGTTATATGAATTATATATATATATTGTGTTTATCAGTGGCTCATTATTAAAGAAGGTCTCTGGACTATAGATTTCCACTGTTTTTGCGATAAAAGATTGAGGTGAAAATTCTGTAGGTACCTTTTGAGTGATAATTGTTTAATTAATCTATGATTAATAGGCCTTTGAAAAATGAATCTTTGTTAATTGTCAAAATTTTTCTTACTTTATGGGGCAGGTTTTGGACAGCCTCACCCATTGTATATATTCCAACTTTTTTTTTTTTTTTTTGAGACGGAGTCTTGCTCTGTCACCCAAGCTGGAGGGCAGTGGTGCAATTTCAGCTCACTGCAACCTCCACCTCCCAGGTTCAAGTGATCCTCCTGCCTCAGCCTCCGAAGTAGCTGGGACTACAGACATGCACCACCATGCCCGGCCAATTTTTGTGTATATATATACTTTTTTTTTTTTTTTTTTAGGAGAGACGAGGTTTCGCCATGATGGCCAGGCTGGTCTCAGACTACTGACCTCAGTGAACCACCCGCCTTGGCCTCCCAAAGTGCTGGGATTATAGGCGTGAGCCAGTGTGCCCGGCCTATATTCCAACTTTTTATTATTATGGAAAAAACTTATCTTTTTTGTTATAAAAAAAGGTTTTTTTTTTAATAAAGAGTTGATGTCAGTTTGTAAAATAGTAAAAAATCAAAATAAAAATGAAGATCATTGTAAAATGAAATGTCAGAATATGCGTGCATTGAACGAAATCAACAAAACACAGACCTGAGTAACTTTAGAATTTTAATCTCCATGAAGCTCAAGATATTCAGATCTAACAACTTTGGTGCTTACAGAACATTTATATCTTCTAACTGTCCCATGTGAATATCCCACATAGACTCTCACCAGCCATGACCCAACTCCAGGTAGCAATGAAGGCTTGTTGAAGTCCCATTTGGAGCATTTATGGTCTATTCCTGGCCCCTACTCTTCTATTCTGAAATCATGGTTGCAAAAGGCTCAGAATTTAAAGGCTTAATTATAAATGTCTCTTAAAGAGAAAAATGGAAAGGGGACTAGTTTAATGGAACAATTCATTTTATGAGTCAAATAGTGATATCCATCATTAATTACATGTGATGCAAATATGGCCAAATGTTAGCACTTGTTAAATCATTATGGCTACTATATGGGTATTGTTTTTATTATTTTCTGCGCTTTCTGGACCTACCATTCCAAAAGTGAAAAAATGTAATTTATAGAATTGACAAAGCAGAGAACATTTTCCTCCTGGGGTAAGCAAGGAAAATTTCAACATTATATTATTTTTGGAATTGACTGGACTTCCTACTCCTAAGCAATCTTACCTGCACATCTTTTGAAATAGACTTAATTGCTGCCTAGAGCTCATAGAAGGATCTCACAGCACTGCTCCAGGGCACTGAAGCTTACAGTGAAAGCACATTTTCAGCAAGTACTGAAGATTGTCTCCACGTTGGCTGGTTTGAAACTGTGGTGAGTGAATTCAGAAAATAAATAGTGTTGATTCTTTAGAGCTTTGAGGCTTTGAAGAAAATAATAACCCTTAGTAATTAACATGCCTGTTTGTTTTTAGATCTTTTGAATGTAATCCAGGAAAGGAATGGAAAGGAAAGAAGTGCTCAGAAAGCTCCCAGAAGCATTTTGGCACTCACCAAAGCAGCCGGAAGATGAATAACACAGTGGGGATAGATGGCTAAGTGGGTCCTATTTATGTGTTATTCATCGACACTAGAAAACGTGCTTTAATTCAAAGCATTGTTTTCTCTTCAAGTGTCTCCAGTCAGCATCACGTAGCTTTACTAAATGCTTTTGGTAATGCTAGAGTTATTTCAGCGTACCAAGTGTCTTTGAGTAGTCCCTTAAGGAAATAAAGCTAAGAAAAGAAGAGGGCAGACAGAGGGCATTCGACCACAAAGAGTGAGAATTTCATTGGCTTGTAGAAGAATCCTTCTTGGAAATGGAATAGTTTATAGCAGAGATTCCCAGGCACACATGTTCTTAAGAACAAAGGGGCCTTTGGAATGCTGTATCAGTGAGGATGCTTTTAGTTGCAAGTAACTGCAGATCCAACTCCAGACTGGTTAAGCCAAGAGGAGATTTATTATCTTGCGTAACAAATGCTTAAGTAGCCGTGCTTCACCCAAGGCACACTGGGCTTCTGGTTCCACTTCTCTGTGGCTTCTGGATTTGTCCTCTTCTCTTTGTGGGCTTCATCCTGCAGCAGCTCTGAGCATCACATCCACTCACAACAGAGTCTTGTGGTCTGTTTGGCCCCGCCTTGCCTGGACATGTGTATGTTCATTAGGGAGTACTGATTCTTCTCAATGAGGAGGTGCTGGAACCAGCTGCCAGTGAGGACAGCAGAGGTTGAAAAGACTGAGAGGTACTAGAAAAGTAAGAAAGGAATGTATAATTGTGAATAGGTTAACCCCAGCTCTTGAGGAGGACGTGCCTACCTTCAGTCACCTTTTTCCGACATCTGGGATAAAACAAACCAGCAAATCAAGTGAGAGCAATACCGCACTCCACAGTTTACTGCTGGCATAACCCCTTAAAAGAAGAAACAAAATCTTAAGTGATCGTAAATGAAAGAGGTACTCTAAGCAGAGACACATGTTTTCCAAGTTAAGGCAAGAGCAATAGCATTATTGCCTTATATTTGTTTTTGTTTGGTTGGTTGGTTTTATTTTTTCCTTGACACAAGTTCTCGCTCTGTTGCCCAGGCTGGAGTGCAGTGGAACCATCTCGGGTCACTGCAGCCTTGACTTCCTGGGCTCAAGCAATCCTCCTGCCTCAGCCTCCCGAATAGCTGGGATCACAGTGGGGTCTTGCCATGTTGCCCAGGCTGATCTTGAACTCCTGGCCTCAAGCAATCCTCCAGACTCTCCAAGTGCTGGGATTATAGGTGTGGGCCACTGTGCCCAGCCTTTTTATTTTTATTTTTTAAGATACGGGGTTTCATTCTGTTGCCCAGACTGGAGTGGAGTAGCACAATTACAGCTCACAGCAGTCTCCAACTCTTGGCCTCATGGGATCCTCCCACTTCAGCCTCCTCAGTAGCCAGTATTACAGGCGCATGCCATCATGCCCTACCTTTATATTTGTTAATATAAGCATTATGACAGCAGGATTTTTTTTTTCTTATTCACTACTGGATCTGCAGTGATTAGACCAATGAATAACACACTGTATATTCTCAATAAATATCTGTCAAATGAATGAGTCATGGTGTGGGCAGTTTAATAGTTTAAAAAGACCCAGAAAGAGACAGAGAGGGATCTGGGTTACAGTGCCAACTATATCATTTACTAGCTGTAGAATCTTTTTTGTTGTTGTTTGTTTGTTTGTTTGTTTTGAGACAGGGTCTCACTCTTGTCGCCCAGGCTGGAGTGCAGTGGTGTGATCTCAGCTCATTGCAACCTCGACCTCCCAGACTCAGGTGATTCTTCCACCTCAGCCTCCCAGGTAGCTGGGACTACAGGCATGCACCACCACGCTTGGCTAATTTTCTGTATTATTATTATTTTTTTAGAGATGGGGTTTTGCCACATTGCCCAGGCTGATCTTGGACTCCTTGGCTAAAGTGATCAACCTGCCTCAGCCTCCCAAATTGTTGCGATTTACAGGCATGAGCCACCAAGCCCAGCCTGTAGAATCCTTTCTGTGCCTCAATTTCCTCTTCTGTAAAATGGGGATAATAGAAACCTGCTTCATCGGGTTGTTGTGAGAATTAAATGAATCAATACATGTAAAGTGCTTAGAACAGTGCCAAGCCCATAGTAAGCCCTCAGGAATTGTTGACTGTTCATTATCACTGCTACCACTTACTAAGTTTTTGACTTCTATAAGCCTGAGTTTCCTCACTTGTAAAATGGGAATAATAAAAGGTACCTCATTTTGAGGATGAAATGAGACATTGTTTATTCTTTCCTCACAACATCAGGCACGCGATTAGGAACAACTTGGCCAAAGGTCACTATAATTCCTTATCTATCTCAGTGCTTTTTATTTACAAACTTATTTTTATTCCCATAATATATTGATTCCCACAAAAACTTAATGAGAGAACAGGTCAACTATATGCCCCTTTTACAGGTGGAGAAACTAACACATGGAGCAGCTAAAAGCCTGTTAAGACTCACTTTATAGACAGATAGTAGAGCCAGAAGTCAACACAGCAGCCACCCGATGCTTCTCATTGCAGATCTTCCACATTCTAACACAATTTTTAAGCAGAGACTTCATAGCTGGAGAGTGACTTTATTGAGCAAACGTACAATATTGGCTCAGAAATGGAGGACTTATAAAAACTGTTTCTAGGTGGGATAGTGTCTGGAATTTGTGGGTTCTTGGTCTCACTGACTTCAAGAATAAAGCTGCGGACCCTCGTGGTGAGTGTTACAGTTCTTAAAGATAGTGTATCCGGAGTATGTTCCTTCTGATGTTCAGACGTGTTCGGAGTTTCTTCCTTCTGGTGGGTTCGTGGTCTCACTGGCTTCAGGAGTGAAGCTGCAGACCTTTGCGGTGAGTGTTACAGCTCCTAAGGCGGCGCGTCTGGAGTTGCTCGTTCCTCCTGTCCGGAGTTGTTCGTTCCTCCCGGTGGGTTCGTGGTCTCGGTGGCCTCAAGAGTGAAGCTGCAGACCTTCACGGTGAGTGTCACATCTCATAAAGACAGTGTGGACCCAAAGAGTGAGCAGCAGCAAGATTTATTGCAAAGAGCGAAAGAACAAAGCTTCCACGTTGTGGAAGGGGACCCAAGCAGGTTGCCACTGCTAGCTCGGGCAGCCTGCTTTTATTCCCTTATCTGACCCCACCCACATCCTGCTGATTGGCCCATTTTACAGAGAGCCGATTAGTCCGTTTTGACAGGGTGCTGATTGGTGTGTTTACAATCCCTGAGGTAGACACAGAGTGCTGATGGGTGTATTTACAATCCTCTAGCTAGAGGTAAAAGTTCTCTAAGTCCCCACTAGATTAGCTAGACACAGAGCACTGATTGGTGCATTTACAAACCTTGAGATAGACACAGGGTGCTGATTGGTGCGTTTACAAACCTTGAGCTAGACACAGAGTGCTGATTGGTGCCTTTACAATCCTTTAGCTAGACATAAAAGTTCTCCAAGTCCCCACCCCACCCAGGAGCCCAGCTGGCTTCCCCTAGTGGATGCTGCGCCGGGGCAATGGGTGGAGCTGCCTGCCAGTCCCACACAGTGCACCCGCACTCCTCAGTCCTTGGGCGGTTGATGGGACCAGGCGCGGTGGAGCACGGGGCGGCGCCTGTCGGGGAGGCTCGGGCCATGCAGGAACCCACTGCAGGGGGGCTTGGGCATGGCGGGCTGCAGGTCCCGAGCCCTGCCCCGCAGGAAGGCGTCTGAGGCCCAGCAAGAATTTGAGCGTGGCGCGGGCCGGCCAGCAGTGCTGGGGGACCTGGCGCACCCTCCGCAGCTGCTGGCCCGGGTGCTAAGCTCCTCACTGCCTGGGGCCAGCGGCACCGGCCGGCTGCTTCAAGTGCGGGCCCACTGAGCCCGCGCCCATCCAGAACTCGCACTGGCCAGTGAGTGCTGCACGCAGCCCTGGTTCCCGCCTGTGCCTCTCCCTCTACCCCTCTCTGCAAGCAGAGGGAGCCGGCTCCAGCCTCGGCCAGCCCAGAGAGGGTCTCCCACAGTGCAGCAGCAGGCTGAAGGGCTCCTCAAGCATGGCCAGAGTGGATGCCGAGGCCGAGGAGGTGCTGAGAGTGAGTGAGGCCTGCTAGCACGTTGTCACCTCTCAGGATGATGTAGGGGAAGGAGGGAGGAAGTGACCAGGACAGGAAATAACATTTCACAAGAAGTGCTCTTAAGGGAGGAAGGTTAGAATGATCCATGTGGTATTGGATTAGAGTTAGAGACATCAGAATGAACTCACGAATTTAGCTTAATATAGCTACAGATGGTTACAAATAGATATTTGCAGATATGTATCGATTCATGGATTAGTATGTATAGATACATACATTTTATTGCTCTGTCAGCTAAAAGGGCCTAGAAACCACAACACCCCAATAGTAATGAGCACCCCTAGCACCCAGATCTTGGTTTCTAATACCATTCTCTAGTAAAAGAAACCAGGAATCACTGGAGAAATGGCTGATTCTAGGGCTGCACTAATAACATACAAAAGGAAACTATAGTGCCAGAAAGTAAGGAAGTGCTGGGGTAAAAAGATAGGGGTATGTCAAAGGGATGCAAGAGCCAACTGAAAAGGTTACCAATGGCCAAAGCTTGAACAACTTGAGCAATAAAGTAAATAATGTAGTATTGGCTGATAACCCAAAGTATAAAATAAATGTTAATCCACCTAACAGAAATACATGATTGTATGAATAAATAAATGGGGGAGAAGAGATAAATCTCCCTTGCAGAAGAATTCCAAATAATTTATGTAGATACTCCCCCATCAAGGAGGTGGAAGATATTCTTACCCCTTAAGTGGGGGCTGCATATAATGACTTCTTTCCAAAGAGTCCAGGATGGAAAGAAGGGAGAAAAGAGTAACTTTACAGTGGAGAAGTCTGATAAACCCTACCTCAATCAGAAGATCAAGTTAATATCAATAGTGATAAGTCAACTTGATAGTTAGGTACCCTTCAGGTGATGCCATGAGAATGGTACTTTATCTCAGTGGTCTTCCTTCCAAAAACCCATAACCCCTATCTAGCCATGAGAAAAATGCCAGACAAACTCAAAGTGAAGAATATTCTATAAAATGCCTGACACCTGACCAGTATTTCTCAAAACTATTAAGGTCATCAAAAATAAGGAAATTCTGAGAAACTGTCACAGCCAGGAGGAGCTTAAGTAGACATGACAACTAAATGTAACATTGTATCCTGGATGAAATCCTGGGGCAGAAGAGAGATGTTTGGTTAAAACTAAAGAAATTTGAATTAACTAAGGACTGTAATTAAGAAGACATCAATATTTTTTAGTTTTGATAAATATGCCATATGAATGTGAGATGTTAATAAGAGAAACCAAGAATGGAATATTCAGGAACTTTCTGTACTATATTTTCTTTTCTGTAAATCTAAAACTATTCTAAAATTTAAAGTTTGTCAAAAATTAATTGGGCTGCTAGGGCAGCAACAACAACAATAAAAAAGACATGGAAAACAAAAAGCAAATGAGAAAATAGAAAACAAACAGCAAAATGATGAATGTATGCTCAACCATATAAATATGTTCATTGTAAGTGGTCTAAACACTGCAATTAAAAGCCAGATATTGTCAGAGAATTTTAAAAATACAATATCCAGGCTGGATGTGGTGGCTCATGCCTGTAATCCCAGCACTTTGGGAGGCCAAGGCGGGCAGATCACTTGAGGTCAGGAGTTTGAGACCAGCCTGGCCAACATGGTAAAACCCCGTCTCTACTAAAAATACAAAAATTAGCTGGGTGTGGTAGGACATGTGCCTGTAATCTTAGCTACCCCAGGAGGCTGAAGAAGGAGAATCTCTTGAACCTGGGAGGTGGAGGCTGCAGTGAGCCAAGATCTCACCATTGCACTCTAGCCTGGGTGACAGAGCAAGACTCCATCTCAAAAAAAAAAAAAAAAAAAACAAACAAAAAAAACAATATTCAGTGTATGCTGTCTATACAAGAAACCACTTTAAATATAAAGATACAGATAGATTAAAATAAAAGATGGAGATACATATACCAATCAAGCAATAATCAAGAGAAAGCTGGAGTAGATACAAAGTAGAGTTCATAACAAGGAATATGATCATAGATAAAGAGGACATTTCATAATAAAGGCGTTATTTCATTAAGAAGACAACAGTTCTAATGTGTATGTACTTAATAATGGAGCTTTGAAATATACACAACAAAAACTGATAGAACTGAAAGGAGAATAGAGTAAGAGTTTTCGTTGGAGATTTCAATACTCTTCTCTCAGTAATGATAGAACAAGTAGAAAAGAGAAAATAAGAATACAAAGTAAGTGAAGATAAAGACTTGAACAAATTCCCACCCAGAACATCAGAATAAATTGCACGTCTTTTACATAGCACATTGATGGCTGTCACTTTTTAATCCAGTCTAAAAATCTATACTTTCTAATTTCAGTGTTTAATCTCTTACATTTGATTGATGTAATTTCTGGTGGTGTGAGTTTATGAATCATGTTGCTTTGTTTTCCATGTGTTCTTTCTTTCTTTGTTCCTTCTTGACTGCCTTCTCTTAGATTATTTTCACATTCTTTTTATCTTCTTTATTGCTTCTTACCTATGTCTCTTTGGGTTTTTTTTTTTAAATAATGATGGCTCTAGTGATTTCAATATGCAACCTTAATTTATCATTGTCTACACTGAATAAATATTATAGTACTTCATGGACAGAATAATGACTTAAAACACTATAATTCCATTTACAGCCTTTATCCCTTTGTGCTATTTTGTTATGTGTTTCACTTCTACGTATGTTACAAACCCCACAACACTTGCTATTATTTTTATCTAAACACTCAAACATCTTTTCAAAATTAAAAAAATAAAAACTAGTCTTTTATATTTACCCACATATTTACCTTTTTTAGTGCTTTTCATTCCTTCCTGTAGATTCCTTCTGAAATCTGGCTTCCATCTGGGATAACTTCCCTTTAGCTGAAAAAAACTCTAGAGATTTTAGTGATATAAACATATAAACAAAATGGCCCATTTCTTGTAGTTTGGGTCTGTTGGTAACACATTCTCTGAGCTTTTTTTTTTTTTTTCCATTAAAAGTGTCTTTATTTCCCCCTCATTCTGAAGTTTATTTTCACAGGATGTAGAATTCTAGGTTGATAATTGTTATGTATTTTTAAAACACTTGGCCAGGCACGGTGGCTCACGCTTGTAATCCTAGCACTTTGGGAAGCCCAGGCGGATGGATTGCCTGAGCTCAGGAGATTGAGACCAGCCTGAGCAACATGGTGAAACTCGTCTCTACTAAAATACAAAAAAAAAAAAAAAAATTAGCCGGCATGGCAGTGTGTGCCTGTAGTCCCAGCTACTCAGGAGGCTGAGGTGGGAGAATTGCTTGAACCCAGGAGGCAGAAGTTGCAGTGGCTGAGATTGTGCCACTGTACTCCAGCCTGGTGACAGAGTGAGACTCCGTCTCAAAAAATAAAAACAAACAAACAAAAAAACCATTTCAATGATATGGTTTTACTCTATTCTGAATTCTATTATTTCTGATAAAAAGTCAGTTGTCATCCATGTCTCTCCTCCCACATTCCAAACCCCCTCTTTCTCCCAAATATAAAGTGTATTTTTTTCTTTGACTTTTTTTTTTTTTTTTTTTTGGAGACAGGGCCACAGTTCTGTCCCAGGTTAGAATGCAGTGAGTTTTGTTTTTGCCACAACTCACTGCAGCCTCGACCTCCCAGGCTCAAGTAATCCTCTTGCCTCAGCCTCCTGAGTAGCTAAGACCACACACCACCATGCCTGGCTAATTTTTTATTTTTTGTAGAGACGAGGTATCATTATATTGCCCAGGATGGTCTCAAACTCCTGGACACAAGCAATCTGCTCAACTTACCCTCCCAAAATGCTAGGATTATATACCTTTCAACATTTATTTTATCCAATTTTCTTTGTCCTTGCTTTCTGAGACTCCAATTCTATGTATATTAGACTATTTGATATTGTCCCCCCAAATTAATATTTTTATTTTTAATCTTTTTCTTCTCTGTGCTTCTGTTAAGATAATTTCTATTCACTTGTCTTTAAATTTTCCAATGCTTTATCCCCCTGTGTCCAGTATTCTTAGGAATTTAGTTCACATATCCTCCTTTTCATTGTTCACTGGCTTTAAAAAGTAGACAGACAGACAGATATTTTTCCCTTGGCTTGAGTAACAGTCTTTTACAACTGTCTACATTTTAATTGGAAATAGAACCTTGAGTGGGTCTTAAGCAGTCTTATATCATACAAAGAACATGCTAAAAATGTAGTATTTCTGGGAAATACTATCAGACATCAGACAATATCTAGGATATTAAAAAAAAATTCCTTAGGTGGTTCTAATGCAGGAGTCCCCACACACCCTTAAAGAAACACTAATTTGTTGTTAGAAGCTGAAGTCAAAATAAAAGTTAGCAGTCAAATGCAAATGAGTTTCAATTGAGGCCTCAGGAAGACCATCAACAAAGCTATCAGATTGCTTTACTAAATTCAACTTTCGAAAACTCATAGCCATTATGAAAACCAGTGTGGAGGTTCCTCAAAAAATTAAAAATGTAACTACCATATGATCCAGATTAGTACCTTCACCTATGAGCAGACTTCTGGGTATATGTCCAGAGGAACTGAAATCAGCATCTTACAGAGATATCTAACCCATCATGTTCATGGCCGCATTATTCACAATAGCCAAGATATGGAATCATCCCAAGTGTCCACTGATGGATGAGTAAATAAAGAAAATGTAGTATAGGCACACAGTGGAATACTATTCAGCCTTTGAAAAGAAGGAAGTCCTGTCATCTGTGACTACACGGATTAACCTGGAAGATATTATGCTAAGTAAAATAAGCCAGGCACAGAAAGATAAATACTGCACGATCTCATTTATATGTGGAATCTACAAAAGTCAAACTCATAGAGGCAGAGAGTAGAATGGTGGTTGCTAGGGGCTGGGGAGTGGTGGGGTGGTAGAGTGGGGGTGGGGAGATGTTGGTCAAAGGGTACAAAGTTTCAATTAGACAGAATAAATAAGTTTTGGAGATTTATTGTATACCATGGTGACTATAGTTAATGATAATGTTTTGTATACTTGAAAATTGCTAAGAGAATAGATCTTAAATGTTCCAACCACAAAAAAAGGATAAGTATGTGAGGTGACAGATATGTTATTAGCTTGATATAATCATTTCACAATGTATATGTAAGAACATCAGGTTGCACACCATAAACATATACAATATTTATTTGTCAATTATACCTTAATAAAGCTGGTGGAGGGACAACTTAATTTAAATAAACTGGTAAATATGGAAACAGACATGGCCTGTAATTTCCAAAAGCCATGTAGTTACTCCATTTCATTTGTTCTTGATTTTATGCTGGGCTGTAGCTCCTCAGTGAACCAACTAAAGTCATAATTAGACAGTTTTAGGAGACAAGAACGTCTTCAGTGATGTGTATAGGCAGGCTTGCATAACTCTTTGAAAGATCTCCAAAGAGGAATATGAATGATTGAGAACACATAGATCTGCTATTTACCAATTAATCCTAAGGTTCCATGGCCTGGAACAATTACCAAGAGCTAAAGACATTAACTTGGATATTGTGTGGCTATCAAGAAAGGACTCTAATTTTTGAACAAATATACCAGAAATTATGCACTCAAATGAGTGCAGTTCTCTTCAACAGGCAAAAAGAAATTGAGTATCAACCCTGCTTCATTGGTTTCACTCCCTAGAGAGTTGCATTGGGGATTTTAAGGTAGAATATAGCTCAGCGGGAAAGAGTCATCTATGAGCATGGTCTGCCATGAACATGGCTAGGGTCCATGGCAACAGAAGTGGTACATAATTGCCCTTCCTGGGTTAATGGTAAGAGCCTCGGGTTTGAAGCCTTGAGCATAAATTTGGCTCTGCCATCTACTAACTGTGAGATCTTGTGAAAACACATTCTCTGAGTCTCAATTTATTTTATTTAATGGTAATTGGTCACAAAAAATTTCCACTTTCTATTTCATAGGTATACATGTGATATCCCCTTTGAAACTTAACAGTGCACTAATAGCAAGTTGTTCTTCAAGGAAGTCACTTTGGTAGGCTATGATCTTATTTACAACAATTCTGTCATTGCACATTCTTTGGGAGTGCATTTATAAACAGTTTGAGCAATTTGGGAGAAGCACTTTTACATGTCCCTGTGATGGCTAATTTTATGTGTCAATTTGGCTATGGTAAGGGATACCCAGAAAATGAAAAAAAAATTATTTCTGGGTGTATCTGGAAGGGTATTTTCAGAAGATATTAGCATTTGAATTAGTAGACTGAGTAAAGAAGATTACCTCTCATCAGTGTGGGCAGGTATCAGCAAATCCATCAAGGGCCCAAATAGAATAAAAAGGCAGAGGGGGGCGAATTCTCTCTCTTTTTCTTGAGCTAGATGTCCATCTTCTCCTGCCCTTGGACATTAGAGCTCCTGGCTCTTGTGCCTTTGGATTCTAGGACTTATACCGGAGCCCTCTTGCCTCCAACTGGGAGATACACCATTGGCTCCCGTAGTTCTCAGGCCTTTGGATTTGGACTGAACCATGGGAATTGGCTCACAAAGTTATGGAGGCCAGGAAGTCCCATGATATGCCATTTGCAAACTGGAGAACCAGCATCATGGGACTTCTTGGCTTCCATAATTGTGTGAACCAATTCCCATAGTACATCTCCTCTTATGTATCCATAATTATTCTATTTGTTCTGTTTCTCCAGGGAATCCTGACTAATACACGGTGTTTTGATAATTCAGCTAGATCACCTACAAATCGATCAGGAACTTTGGATTCAAATGATATCATTGTTGCCAAAAATCGAATTCACTATTAGTGGATGAAGATTTGTTACCACTGGGTTATTAAAAAGCGTAGGCCACAGGCTTTTGAAGATTCTTCCCAAAGAGGAATTCCAAAAATGATTTATGCAATTGCAGCCTCATTAGTGTAAGAGTATGGTCTCCCAAGGGAGCTATGTTGAAGGCTGAAACTCACTTGAATATGTAATCTTCTGTTAGCTTGTTTAATTAATCGGTCATTTTGCGTTAGAATCTCATGGATGTATAGCAGAGTTACCATGCTTTGAATGAGAATGATGGTCACACACTGATCCTGCAGTAATCTCTAAGAATATAAACAAGGTAGCCCAGATGAACTCTCACCCTCTGATAGAGAGGGAATTGGAGCTTTCTGGCGCTTACTGATAACATAACAAGAATATCTTCAGTGATGTGTATAGGCAGGCCTGTATAACTCTTTGGAAGACCTCCAAAGAGGAATATGAATGATAAGTCTCCAAGCAAACAACTATTTGTAACCCCAGAATTATAAAATATAGATGTAATACGGTTGTGAAAATCCTTTCTGTTTGGGCCAGGCACAGTGGCTTATGCCTGTGAATCACTTTGGGAGGCCAAGGTGGGAGGATTGTTTGAGCCCAGGAGTTCAAGACCAGCCTGGGCAACATAGTGAGATCCTGTCTTTACAAAAAAATTAAAAATTAGCCAGTTGTGGTAGCACATGCCTGTGGTCCCAGCTGTTTGGAAGGCTGAGATGGAGGACTGCTTGAGCCCAGGAGGTTGAAACTGCAGTGAGCCATATCTACACCACAGTACTCCAGCCACTTCAGCTTTGAGGACAGAGCGAGACCCTGTCTCAAGAAATAAAAAAAAAATAGGAATGAAAAAAGAAAATCCTGTTTGTTCAAAAGTAACTACTATGGTTAGGCAAAGGCAGGAAATGTTAGAAGAAATGCAGCGAGAAGTCCTTGGAAGGAGTATATTTTAGCATTGGAGTCTGGGCTACGTGAAGGAGATGTTGACACAGATCCAATCCTAAACTGTTAGGGAGGGTGCAGTATCTCTCTGAGACTGTGTCATGAGGGATCTCTGCCCTTTTCCTGAGCTTTAGAGGGTCATACTCTAGACTTTTTCTCTCTATGAGAAGAGGAGTCCACGGGCTAAAGGGTTGTGCCCCCCTTAAGCCCACTGTGGTAGAAGGAATTCTAAGATGGCACCCAAGATTCACGCACTCTCTATCTTCCCCCTCTTTGAGTGTGAGTGTGACCTATGAATCACACTCCATGATTAGGTGACATTATATGGCAAAAGTGGAGGGATTTGCAGATATAATTATCGTTTCTCATCAGTTAACTATAAGTCAACAAAAAAAGATTGTCCTGGATGGACCTTACTTAGTAAGGTGAAATCCTTTAAAAGAGGGCTGAACCCTTCATGAAAAGAGAGAATCTGCTGGTCTTGAAGAATCAAGTTGCCATTAGTTCTATAGCCACAAGGAAATGAATTCTGCCAATGACCATTTGAGCTTGAAAGAGGACTCTGAACCTCAGATGAAACTGCAGCCCTGGTTGACACCTTGACTGCAGTCCAGTGAGACCCTGAGCAGAGGAACCAGTTAAGCCACACTCAGACTCTTGACCCAAGGAAATCATGAGATAATGGACATGTGTTGTTGTAAGGCATTAAGTTGGTGGTGACTTGAGATGCAGCATGGAACAGGAATTCACCCATGCCTCATCTTCTAGTCTAATGGCACGCAAAGTTTGATCTGTTTACTGCTGGTCCAGGATGAGCTAAGTATAGAAAGTGAGAGTAAGTGGTACTTTTTATGGCAATTTAACACTGCTGAAATATTTAAATTATATTTTACAAAAATGTGGATCCACAGTAGAGTGAACTTTTTAAAAAAAGCATTTTTCACCAGATAAGTACTGTTCTAGTTCATGATCTGCCTTCTTAGAATTCTGAATTCTCTGCCCACCTGACCCTGAAAGAGGAATGAATTAGCTCTTCAAGGGCCTGCTCAGTCCTCTTTCTTTGGTCTGCCTGTATAAGGGCAGACAGTGCTGCTGCTGAACTAACCCCTAGCCCTGACAGTTGGCCAAGAAACAGCTCTTTATGGGGGTTGAAGATGGAGCTTCAGATGTGTGGGTTGGCAGGTTCACACATGACTATAAGCACCTGGAAGTGCTGGATAGAAAGATGGGAAGAGAAGAGAGGAATAACCAGGGGCCAGAAGCTATGAATGGCTGTTCATATGTAACCTCAAAATTCCCTGCTAAAACATGGGAAATCCCAAATTTTTAAGTTCAAATACAGCTTTCGGGTCATTGTGAAGGTCTATTGGCCAAAGTAGAAGGAAAGAACATATTTTATTTAATATTATGCTAGCTTGGCTTATGTTTTTAAACATTCTAGACATATGCTATGCCGGCCTTCATTTGTTCTCCTGTACTGGCCTTGTAAATATGTTAAGAGTGGGCCTGGAGAGTGGTCTCTTCTGGAACACTTCCATCTACTTCTCCCAGAGATTGCAAACCTAGAATCTGGAGCTGCTGAAGTGGAAGGGTTTTGTTCTTTTTTGTTGTTGTTTTTAGTGATGCCTCATCATAATTAACACAAAAAGGTTTTCTGCACTAATGATGCTTAGATTTTTTTAACCCATTTTTCTCTAACTGCATGATGGTAGGTGCTATGGTTTGAATGCCTCCCAAAATCTGCATGTTGGAAACTTAATACTCAGGCAGCATTGTTGGGAGTTGGGGCCTAATGAGAGGTGATTAGGCCATAAGGGGGAAGTAAATGGATTAAAACCCATTTATGCCTAGTGTTCCATTATTGGAACACTAAGCATGTAGGAGTTATTTATATCTACTGCTCAAGGTCTGATTGGCAAAAATTCAAAAAATTGCAACCTCAGGCAGAAATGGTTTAATACTGTTATCATGGAAATGGGTTTGTTATAAAAGGGTGTGTCTGGCCCCCTTTTATCTCTCTCTCTTTTGCCCTTCCACCTTGGGATGGCACAGCAAGAAGCCCCTCTCCGGATGCCGGCCCCTCTTGGACTTCCCAGCTTCCAGAATTGTGAGCCAGTCAATTTCTGTTCATTATAAATTACCCAGTCTCAGGTATTCTGTTATAGCAGCACAAAACAGACTAAGACAGTGGGTTATCCTAAATCCATACTATGCCAGCGAGAACCAAGGGGTGTAGCATGTTTCCTGAGCAGTGTTTCAGATCCCCAGCAGAAGGTAAATGCTGTAAATTACTGTGCATTTGCCACAGTGTAGTAGACTGAATAGTGGCCACCAAAGATATCCAGGTCCTAATCCCTAACACCTGTGAATACTAATGTAATGTGTCAAAACAGGCTTTGTAGATGTGATTAAGTCAAGGAATTTTCGATGGAGAGAGTATCCTAGATTAACTTGGTGGGACCTAAATGCAATCACAAATGACCTTATAAGAGAGAGGCAGAGGGAGACTTGACACCATATAAAGAAATGGGACATTAAGGCAAGAGGCTGAGGTATTGGCTTTGAAGATGGAGGAAGGGGCCACAAGCCAAGGAATGCAAAGAGTACATCTCTAGAAGCTCAAAAGATAAGAAAAAGGATTCTCCCCAAAAGCCTCCAGAAGGAGTGCAACCCTACCGATGCCATGATCTTGGGCTAATGTAACTGATTTTACATTCTGACCCCCAGAACTATTGGAGAATAAAAGTGTGTTATTTGAAGCCACTAAGTTTGTGGTAATTTGTCACAGCAGGTAAAGTAAACTAATATACACAGCAAACAATGAGAATATTTTTAAAATCTGAATTAAAAGTCTGGGATTTTGGTGTGTGTGCAACCACTACCAGTTTTCTAGATACTCTTCTAGAGACAAGGTATTGTGAAACAGACAATATAAGTGAGAATGGAAGAGAGTAACACAGACCCAAAGGGCATGCTTCAAAAGCCACAGGGGAGGCCAGATCCCAGCTGACACACCACTTTAGAATAAGAGTGTTTCCTCAAAATAACTGAAGGAACACCGAGAAGGGCTATAGATGTGTTCAGCTTTATTCCCACAGTTGACATTTATAATGTATCAGTCCCTCCCTGTTAATAGCTTGACTGACAGACAATCAAAGGATGTGTGGGACTCATAAATAGTCCGAAGCACACCCAAGAGGGAGCATTTGTAATGCAGCCTTCAGAGACTAGGTAGAAAGGAAAGGAAGGGAGCAAAGGAAAACTCAGGGAGGAATTTAAGGGACAAGTGTTCCTGACCAAAATGTCAGAGCCTGGACTAAGCTCTTGATCACAAAGAAATGGTGAGAAGCCCCGTAGCTGAAATTACTGTGAGAGCCCGTTGGAGTCAGAGGAAGTATTTGTGGTGGGATTACAGGGAAACTTTTCTACTTCTTGTCTCCACATAAGCCCCAGGTTAGTCCCAAAGGACTGTGGATGCTGTTGAGGCTTAGTGAACACCCAGTAATGGGAGAAGAAGAGACTCGCTTTCAGTACCATATTCCCTTGGGTACAGAGAAAAAGCTCAGGCCGTTTTGAAAACAGCTGCTGCACTTTTCCCAAATGACCTTTCTTTGTTCCCTTCAGCTCCAAGCCCTTGGACTCATTCTCCATTTTTCTCTTTATGCAGGTGTATGTTTAAGCTCAGGCTGGAAAAGGATCACTGAAAGTCACTTGGATGGTGTCTCGTGTGTCTGTGATGAGCTTGCTGTTGCTTTCTTTCTCCTTGACAGGTGGGTTTATTTCTTATGGAATCAGACCTTTTGGCTACAGTGTTCTCTAAACAGCTGTAATACCATCTCACTCAGTTAACCTAACTTTGGATCTGATGTACATCAGAATAAAACCTATAGAGAATAGAGCTGACTTCCCCAAATCCATGTGCCTCCACTAACCCCCAAGGAGCTTAGTGTGGCTGGTTGTGAATGACAGTGATCTCCGTGATGAGAAGTAATCCCTCCTCTAGAAATACTTTACCTGTTTTCTTTGGTGCTTAACACCCTCTGCATGAGACATTGCTCTATGGGCTTTCATCTCCCCTGTGACAAAGGACACATCTTTCTCATTTCCACATTCCCTCCTCTTGCTTCTCCCCCATGCCACCTCCCCTTTGTCCCTCTACCAACACATAGGTACCTGCGTCAGTTAGGCACCTACTCTACAGCCCATGGAACAAATAAAGCTTTCAAACATTAGTTATTTAATCAATGGGTCAAAAAAAAACAGTATCTGAATATGCGCAGCATCTAACCTTTTTGATGGGCTTTTGAATCTAGTGCCTCATTTTGTCTCTTCAACATCCCTCTGAACTCAGTATAACAAGTAGTAATAGCCCCATTGAACATATAAAAAAACCTGACATCTGGGAAAGTTTTAACTTAGGAAAAGGTCACATTGCAGATTATTGGCAGAGTTCACATTAGAATCTGTTTCTTACTCTGTTGTCCTCACCACTATACTATGGTGCTTTCGTTCATTGAGTTGACCTATGGTAAAGTTATAAGCCTTGCTGTTTTTGCAAGTGGGGAGACTGGGACTTGGGCATCTGAATTTTGACCTGGAGGTTAATGGTGTCAATAGGAATGTAACTGCATGCAGTCTCTTAGATGGATGGATGGTAAGAAAACCTTTACTTTCTATATAACTCCAGAAGACAATTCTGTCATTTTAAACTACAAATATCAACTATGGTTTTTTTGGGAGGAATATTTATTATTTAATTTTAAAAAATTATTTTTGATACAAAGTCTTGTGCTGTTGCCCAGGCTGGAGTGCAGTGGCGCCATCTTGACTTATGTAGTCTCTTCCTCCCAGGCTCAAGCAATCCTCCTGCCTCAGCCTCCTGAGTAGCTGGGACTACAGGTGTGCACCACCACACCGGACTAATTTTTATATTTTCTGTAGAGGCGGGTTTCACCATGTTGCCCAGGCTGGTCTCAAACTCTTGGGCTCAAGCAATCCTCCCGCCTCTGCCTCCAAGTGTTGGGATTGCAGGTGTGAGCCACTGCACCCAGCCAATTTTTTTTTTAAGTTTCTTGTGGGTACCCTGTAGGTGTATATATTTGTGGAGTACATGAGATGTTTTGATACAGGTCTGCAGTGTGTAATAATCACATCATGGAGACTGGGGTATCCCTTCTCTCAATCACCTCCCTTTTGTTTTACTATTTATTTATTTTTAAATGAACTCTTATTTATGTGAGATGACTTTGTTAAGGGTGAGGACAGGGACAGATACTTGCTTCCTTTTCTGCCATGTCACTGCCAGTCCATATTAGAGCCCACTCTGGAGGCTAATGAATTTTTCTTCTCTCTGTGTCCCGTCAGCCCCAGTCCCCTCTGCCCATTGGACCCACTCTTCCCAGGACCCCGGGTTCACAGCTAATGCCTTTCAGTCAGAGGCAGGAGTAGATTATTTAGTTTCTTCCCAGAGAAACTCCCCACAGCCCAAACCACATTTATCCTGCAAATATTAACCACTTTTCATAGCAGTGCATCCATGAGTTATTATGCTAACAGCTGCCTCTGCTTCATTGTGCAAAAGATATTTTCCCAGCAAAGGGTGGGGACGCAGGGCAGAGGAGGGTGAGAAGGGAGGAAAATCCCACCCTGTCACGCTCGTTTAAAGTTATCATGTGCCGCCCGCCCCCCATTCATTCAACACACATTTACCTTCTGGCAGCAACTGCGTTATGAGATATAAATATGAATAGAATGCAATGCTCTACCTAAGGGAATTCATGGCTAAGAAAAAGAAATAGACACAAATAGGTTTGTTGTAAAGCGAAGTGGAATTAGAGCAGGTCCAGCAAAGAAAGGCAGCAGGGACAAGGGACAGGCATTCCAGGCAGCAGGACAGGGTGAGCCGAGGCATGGAGGTGGGAAACAGCTCACTGTGTGTGTCGTATCTCTCCAGGCAAAGCTCCCTGAAAGAGGAAAGAGCCAGGGAAGTGACAAGCAGAGCCCAGAGGGGCTTGCAAGCCATGTTAAGGAGCTTAGGGGTGGGGTGGGAACTGAAGGGTTTCAAGCAGGGGAACAATGGCAGATGCGCAGTTGCGTGGATGGTAGATGGGAGGATGGATCAGATTAGGGCAAAACTGAAAGCAGGGACCAGTCACAAGAGGAACTTCATTCCAGGGAGAGATGTTGAGGGTCTGAACTGAGGCAGTGCAGTGGGAAGAGAAGGATGAATTAGAAAACAGTTGCAGAGGGACTTGGGAGGTCATGGGAGCTAGATGGGGATGAGGGCTGAGGGAGAAGTAGCAGTCTGGAGGGGTCTTTGAGTAAGGCTGGAACCCCTCTCTAGAACTCTCTGCCCAGTGCCCAGAGAACCTCACAGGAGATAAGAAGATGGACACACAGAGTTGATGGCTGCTCAAGACATTGTCCCCTCCCCTACAATCCCCCGTTCAAAGCTGGTGAGGAGTATGGCCAAGCAGTCTGACCCCAGGACTGTGGTCCTCAGCAGGGCGAGGGTGGGGAGGATTTCGAAAGTGGGAGACCAGAGTGAAGCAAGAGGCTGTCAGCGGAAGGACTGGAAGGGCCAGGCCCACGTGGTCACGTGTTTGCAGCTTTAGCTAATTCATCCTCCCAACGTCTCTATGAGGGTGACACAGTTATTGCCCCATTTTACAGGGGAGAAAATTGAGGCTCAGCAGGTAATCTGTGGCCAAGTTACAGACCACAGTGCTGGCATGTGGAGGGCATTTCCTCCAGCTCAGCATAACTGGCATGGGAGAAAGACTGGCTTCACCACAGCAAGCCCCACAGGGCCATCAGAGTGGACCAGGGAATAGTGCAGCCGGGGAGACCTAAGCAGAACTTCCAGTGACAAGGAGAGGATTCTCTGGAGGCAGCTGGGAGGGGCCCATGAGACGCCTTTGGGCATTCACAAAAGGTGTGAGGGCTTTGGGGTCCCAGCAGATTTCCTCAGGGTGGGGTAGGGTAGAGGTAGGGAAAGAGGCTGAAAAAGATCATGATTTTGTTGCAATTTTATTAACCATCTTTCTTAGTTTTTACCTGCATTTATATGCAGGCTAACAGCCCCTGAAAGAGTTCATAAACTCAGCCTCTGAATCTGTCCCATCATCCCCACAAGCATCCTGGGAAAGAGAGTCTTTTCATTTTCTCTGTCTCTGTCTCTCTCTCAACAGATGAGAAAACAGTGGCTTCAAAGGTTAAACAACTTGTCTTCGATTGCACAGCTAACAAGAGGTAAAACTGGAATTTGAATCGTGGTACTGTGACTTCAGAGGCCAGGTTCGTAGCGCTACACTAACACAGAGACCAGAAGAAGCCTTGACATTATCATAAAACCACAGACATGATACAAGGCCAGGAAGAAGGAGGCTTGGGAGCTTATTAGCTGAAATATATTGATCACCTTTTCACAGCTTTCTCTTATTATCCTCCCAATGTCTCTGTGAGGACAGTACAGTTATCACCCCATTCTAGAGATGAGGAAACTGAAGCTCAGAGGTGTTAAGAAACTTGTTCTAGGTCACACAGCTAGTAATGCTTGGGATCAGGATTTGAATTTAGATTTGTCATATTCCAAAGTTTACCTATAGTCTCAGCTACTAGGGAGGCTAAGGCAGGAGAATTGCTTGAGCCCAGGAGTTTGATTTCAGATTGAGCAACATAGTAAGATCCCATGTCAAAAAAGAAAAATAAACAGGTGAAATTAATTTTAACAATATGCTTTACCTAACCCAATATATGCAAAATATTACATTTTAACATGTAATCAATATTTTCAAAGTTAATAATGAATACCAGAAATAACACATGTGCTAATAACATGTACGCTGCAACACTAATATCTTACCTGATACAACAGTTAAAATCAAGTCCCACCAGAGCAATAAAGTTGTGTCTACCAGAAAAATATTTTACACTGCTTCCATTTTTAAATTTACATTTAAATTAATTGACATTAAGTAACATTTAAAACTCAGTTCCTCAGTCACACGGGCTACATTTTAAGTGTGCAACAACCACATATGGCTAGTGGCCACAGTGGTGCTGGTTAATGAGCACAGCTCTAAGCCTTCCTTGTGTGTTTTTTTAAAAATTCAATTCAGATTCCACTTCCATTGTTTGCTTGTTTAACCTTAAAATCTGTGTGTTTTAACAGACCTGTGTTTAAGCCTTATAAGTCCCATCACAAAGTGTCAGTGGTTTGGAGAGAGGTTCTAGAACGTTCTCTTTGTAACATTATCACAAATCTGTGGTTGTTAGGCTGCTCTTGGTTTATGTTTGAGTTAAACCCTTTGTGTGGTGTCAGACCAATTCAGGCTTATGTTTTCCCCGGAGAGAGGAATAAGCTGCTATTTTGGACCCTGTCGTGATCCCTGCCCAGAGTCAAAAGTAATTCCCAAGCAGACTGATTTTTACAGGGTCATGCTCCTCTGATCTTCTCTCCAGGAGTGTGATTTTCAACGGGATAGAGAAAGGCAAACTCCTGAGGAAAAATTTCTCTGGGAAAGCCCAGGCTGAAGTCGAGGAGGGAAGAGGACGAAAGGCTGACAGGGTTGCCGTCTCTGAGGGAGATCCACTCACACACCTCAGGAGGCATTGTGGGATGGTCAAAGTGGGGAGGAAGAAAGGGAATCTTCGAAAGAAACTTGCGGCGGGGCACGGTGGCTCACGCCTGTAATCCCAGCACTTTGGGAGGCTGAGATGAGTGGATCACAAGGTCAGGAGTTCGAGACCAGCCTGGTCTGGCCAACATGGTGAAACCCTGTCTCTACTAAAAATACAAAAATTGGCCGGGCTCGGTGGCTCACGCCTGTAATGCCAGCGCTTTGGGAGGCCGAGGCAGGTGGATCCCCTGAGGTCAGGAGTTCAAGACCAGCCTGACCAACATGGAGAAGCCCCGTCTCTACTAAAAATACAAAAAAAAAAAAAAAAAAAATTAGCCAGGCATGATGGCACACACCTGTAATCCCGGCTACTTGGGAGGCTGAGGCAGGAGAATTGCTTGAGCCCGGGAGGCAGAGGTTGCGGTGAGCCGAGATTTCACCATTGCACTCCGGCCTGGGCAACAAGAGCAAAACTCTGTCTCAACAACAACAACAAAAAATTATCCGGGCGTGGTGGCATGCACCTGTAATCCTAGCTACTTAAGATGCTGAGGCAGGATAATTGCTTGAACCCGGTAGGCAGAGGTTGCAGTGAGCAGAAATCGCACCACTGCACCCCAGCTTGGGTGACAGAGCAAGACTCTGTCTCGGAAAAAAAAAGAAAAAAAGAAAGAAACTTAGGCTGAAAGGTTTAAATGGACACAGAACAGCAAACTCAAGGACTTCCATAGCTACTGGGAACCAGCACAGGGCTGACACCTCCATTGAACTCTCTTTGCTATTCTAGAATATTTTAATAATGAGACACACCCAAAACATGTTTAGAATCATGCCACCTGCTGCTTCTCATGGCCAGCATTATTTGTCATCAAATCTGATCCCAATGTTTGCCATATTATTGGATATCCTGTGAAATAGAATCTAAAAATATACATTTTTTCCCTCTAAATCGGTCCTAACCTTACAGCTAGGGTTGCAACTGTAATATTGTTGTCTGTTTCATTTTACTTTCCAGGATTAGGTAATAATATTAAATTCCCCATCTCATGTTAGTTTCTGTTTGAACTTGGCCTGGTATTTGAAGAATATATTTAGAAGTTAAAGCGTGCTACTTTTTATCCCATGCAAGCCAGTTGTGGGTTCATAGATCTGTGGTATCTCATAACATTTTCTGTCCTAAACTGAACACATCCAGTCTCTCCAAATTGAAGTTCCTCAGCTGAGGTTATTTTCATTTCGGAGAATTTCTTGAGAGTTGTTTCTGTTATAGAGGATAAAGGGATAGAGGAGTCACAGCTGCCTAAAGTCAGTGCCTCTTTAAATACAGGCCTTCCTTGCCTCCAGGACTTGATGTCTTCCTTTAGTGGAGGGCAGCTCCTCAATTGAAGAGGGCGGGATTGAGGGAGCAGTTGAAGCAGCAGGTTCGCCTGGGCTCATGCTTTTCTCTTGTGTGGCTGCTGTTACAGGGACCTTCAGGCACGTTCTAGGAAAGCCAATTAAAGCAGAAAAGGCCCTTAGAACCAAATTGATTGCCCCCAGTATAGCTGTTAAACTTTGAGAGAGCAGCTGGGTGCTTCTTGTGGCCCTGATAGTGCCAGATTGTTCATGCTGCCTTAGGCTTTCCTGTAACATTTTTGAAAACCCTTGTTATATCCAGTTTAATGACATGTATTGATCAGAACAAAAAGGGCTGAGGTACTGACTCCAGGATCAACTCACAGACAGAACCATACATTTCTATTTTTTAGATTCTGCAAAGCACCCAAGTCAAACATAGGATTATTCCCAGGGTCATGACCATACAGCATTTTATCTGTGAAGAACAGATAGTTTAAGTCCTTTATTTCCATTTGATTTCAAATGTGGATAAAGAAACAACTAATTTATTTTCAGAAATGTACATCACCTCTGACTCTCAAATTAGCACCTGATTTTCTTATTTTCACTTTGAAACCGCTGTGTGCTATTTTGATTCTCTAGAAAGAGTTAAACTTCTCATAGGCATTAAACCCAAGTGGAAATAGTTGGCCCAAGGCCTAAACTTGTTCTTTATGAGAAATACAAGACTCGAAGGGATTCTAGCCTTTTTAGAATTATCATAGAATGTGTACAGGAAGCATGACATTGGCAGAAAGGGAACATAGGTGCCTTTTACCGTGTTTATATGGACATGGGTTCTGGGTTTTACAGATGGGGAAATATTGTACGAGTCCATGGGGATATGTAGTGAAATGGAGAGGGAGAGGGAGAAAGAAAGAGAGAGAGAGAGAGAGAGAGAGAGAGAGAAAGAGATATTCTTTTGTACTTTCAGACTGAGCAGTTTACCCAAGTCAGAGAAGCAAGGGTATACAGGTAAAGTACAGAATAGTCTGGAATAATGTCATTATTGTTTGGTCTCTTTACTTCTTTATAGGGCATCTCAGAGAGAGAACACAGTTTCTCAAAGTGGATGGAAGGTGTATTATAAGTTTTTAACCCAGAATAACCAAAACAATCTTGAAAATGAACAAAATTGAAGATTCATACTTCCTGATTTCAAAACTTACTACAAAGCTTAAGTAAACAAGGCAGTGTAGTGCTGGCAGAGACTAGGCATAGAGACTAATGGAGCAGAATTGAGATTCCAAAAATAAACCCATACATCTATGGTAATTGATTTTCAACTAGAATATCAAGCCCATTCAATAGGTTAAGAATGTTTCTTTTCAACAATTGGTGCTGGTACAACTGCTTATCCACAGGCAAACAAATGAATCTGGAACCCTACCTCACACCATATACAAGAATTAGAATGGATCAAAAGACCCAAGTGTAAAAGCTAAAAGTGTAAAACCCTTAGAAGCAAACAGGTATATATCTTTGCGACCTTGGATTTAGCAATTTTGTTTTTGTTTTTGTTTTGAGACAGAATCTTGCTCTGTCACCCAGGCTGGAGTGCAGTGGTGTGATGTGGGCTCCCTGCAACCTCTGCCTCCCGGGTTCAAGCGATTTTCCTGCCTCAGTCTCCTGAGTGGCTGGGACCACAGGTGTGGGCCACCACACCCAGCCAATTTTTTTATTTTTAGTCAAGATGGAGTTTCACCATGTTGGACATGCTGGTCTTGAGCTCCTGACCTCAAGTAATCTGCCTGCCTCAGCCTCCCAAAGTGCTGGGATTACAGGCGTGAGCGACTGCACCTGGCTGGCAATGGTTTTTTAGTTATGATGTTGAAAGCACAAGCAACTAAAAAAAGAGAGAAAAATCAGATTTCATCAAAATTAAACATTTTTGTGTGTCAAAAGAGACTATCAAGAAAGTAAAAAAACAACCTACAGAATGGGAGAAAATATATGCAAATCTTATATTGGGTAAGGGTCTAGTATCTAAAATATATGAAGGACTCTTACTATTCAACAATAAAGAGACAAATAGCTCAACTTAAAAGTGGTCAAAACATGTGAATAGACACTTCTCTAATATACGAATGGCCAATACACACATGAAAAGATGCTCTACATAATTAGCCGTCAGGGAAGTAAAAATCAAAACCACATTAGATACCACTTCACACTCACTAGGATGCTATAATAAATTTCTTTTAAATGGAAAATAACAAGCGTTGGCATGGCTGTGGAGACTGGAACCTTCATACATTGTTAGAGGGAATATAAAATTGTGCAGCCACTTTGGAAAACAGTTTCCAGTACCTCTACAAGTTAAACACAAAGTTACCATATGACCCAGCTCCACTCCTAGGTATATACCCAGGAGAATTGAAGGCATATGTTTATACAAAAACATACATGAATGGTCATAGCGGCATTATTAATAATAACCCAAAAGCAAAAACAACCCAATTGTCCATCAACTGATGATTGATAAACACAATGTGACATATTCATACTAGACAATTAAATAAAAGAAAACTTTTTTTTTTTTTGAGACAGGATCCGGATCTCTCTCTGTCACCCAGGCTGCAGTGCAGTGGCATGGTCTTGGCTTGTTGCAGCCTTGGCCTCCCGGACTGAAGCTATCCTTCCACCTCCCTCGCAGAGCCCGCTTCCCCCACCAATAGCTGGGATTATCAGCGTGCACCACCACATACAGCTAATTTTAGTATTTTTTATAGAGACAGAGTTTCCCCATCTTGCCCAGGCCCACCTGTCTCATCCTCCCAAAGTGCTGGGATTACAGACGTGCGCCTCTGCACCCAGCCCAGAAAACTTCTTACACATTAGCACCCACTCCCTATTCACCGCTCCCCACAGCCCTTGGCAACCACGAATCTATTTTCTGTCTCTATGGATTTGCCAATTCTGGACATTTCATATAAATAGAATCATACAGTATGTGGCCTTGTGTGTGTGTGTGCGAGTGTGTTTGTGTGTATGTCTGGCTTCTTTCCTTAGCATACTGTTTTCAAGGTTCACACATGTTGTAGTTATGTACCAATCCTTTATTCCCTTTTATTGCCAAATAATACTACATTGTCTAAAGCAAGTCTAACTTAAAGGAAAAAAAAAAAAATATATATATATATATATATATATATATATATATATATATATATATATATTTCATTGTATGATTATACCACATTTTGTTCATCCATTCATCAATTGATAGACATTTTTGGGTTATTTCCACATTTTGGGCTCTTATGAAGAATGCTGATATAAGCCTTCATAAACAAATTTTTGTGTGGTCTGTGGTCATGTTTTCACTTCTCTTGGGTTTTTGTATATATTTTAAATGCTGTAAAAACTTTCCTGACTTAGATAATAATGATTCCTTTATTGACAAGTATAAAGCTTTCTCATCAAAAGATAGAAAACTGACTCCATTTTGTATCACAGTATCACATCCTTAGAACATTGAGAGCTCAAAAAGAACTCAGACACCTGCTGGGTGAGACCCTGATTCTATTGACAAGGCCTAGAGAGGTGGGGTGACCACTACAGGTAAGACAGCCAGTGAATGACAGAGACAGACACAGAACCATGGTCTCCCAACCTACATCCCCTTCCCATCTAGATGGACATCATCTTTAACCCCGTGACTCTTACCCAGAGTGAACCATCGGTCTTTCCAGAGTCTGGGAGGGGAATGTTTCCATGGTGAAGATGACTTCCCAGAGTGGGACCTTAGGGGGTAGTAGACATCCCCTACCTCCCCCAAACCATTCCCCTTCTCCATAACTTGCTACAGTACTTGCAGTTTCACCAGCAGCCAATCCACTGGTTGAATGGAGGGCTCACAAATGAATGGCCTATGGGGGCCAGAGAGGAATGAAACAGAGTGGATTGGGCAGGCTGGCAAGCTGGAAAGCACATGCCCCCCCCACGAAATAGCTTAGGACAAAAGCCACAGGATCTGTGTTCGTGAAACATCTTGGAGGCTTGGGGTTGAGCAAGTGGCTTCTTAGCCCAGCGTGCAAGATTTGGCATGTGGGCCATGCTAGCCTCCCTGTAGCGCTGGCATTCTGAAATCTCAGAGATGCTGCTACAGAGGAAAGCCAGGCATTGCAGGGCAAGGCTCTCACAGTGGCCGCCAGCACCTCATGGTGGCACGAAACTTGAGCAGGAGAGGAAGGGTGGGCTTGTTCCTGAGCACCAGAAGCTGCAACTACCCTGGCACCCTTTTGTTAACTGGGGAGAACCTTTGAGGAGATGCTGGTGAACGTTCCATGCAGGGGCTGAGAACCATCACAATTTGGCCCATAATACTGCAAACAAAGTCCAGCAAGCCTAGGAAATTTAGGATTCATCTCTAAAACAGTATTCTCTGTTTAGAAGCATATAGAATATTTTATAATCCAAATGAGTTGATTGCCTCTTGGCTTGCGTTAGCGAGATGCTATCATTGCAATAAGCGGAAATCTCAACTCTGTTAGCTTAGGCAAACCATACAACTCATTGGGGATTCAGATTGCTGTTCCTTGGTCTTGCTGTTTGCCTTGCTACATGCGTATGAATGTGCAGATGACAAGAACAGATGCCAGGGCCCCTGGAAGATCAAAGTCCTGGCGCTGCCTTAGAAAATCTGTCCATGCCACATCCCTAAATCTGCAGGAAGGCCATAGTAAATATGCAATAGATATTTGTTCCATTGAATGAACTCTAAAGCAAACCCATTCTTAACCATTCCTATGTAAGACCAAAGCACATGTGCAGGCGGCTGGGACCAAAAACAAGGAGTAGTACTTTTGGGGACACAATTGTCACTGCTGTTTCCCCACTATCTTAGCATTCGGCCACTTCTCCAATATCCAGATTAATTTGCTGCAATGAAAATTTCCTCTCTTTTGTATTAAAACTACCCTAACATTATTTTCATGGTTATTTTTCCAAAACTGGAAATAAGAACACATTGTTTCTAGATTGTGGACAGTGGTTCCAGAGAAGGGAAAACCAGAAGGGTTTTATGACTCAGGAAGAAAGAGCTCCCAGAGGGGCCCAGGTGGTTTTTCTTCCATCCTCCCCTTTACGATACTCTGAATATCTTTTTTTTTTTTTTTTTGAGACACAGTCTTGCTCTGTCACCCAGACTGGAGCGCAGTGGCACTATCTCTGCTTACTGCAGCCTCTGCCTCTTAGGTTTAAGCGATTCTCCTACCTCAGACTCCCAAGAAGCTGGGATTAAAGGCACCCACCACCACTCCCGGCTAATTTTTGTATTTTTAGTGGAGACAGGAGTTCACCATGTTGGCCAGGCTGGTCTCAAACTCCTGACTTCAAGTGATCCGCCCACCTCACCCTCCCAAAGTGATGGGATTATAGGTGTGAGCCACTGCGCCTGGCCTGAATATCTTTTTAAAAATTATTTTGGAAGGTTTTCTGACTTGCCCTTCAACATTTCTAGCCTTCCCTTTCTGTCCCCAACATTAATCTCCCGCAAGTCTCTTCTCCATTGCTTCTCCGCGTTGGCAGGCCCATATTTTTGTGTGGCTTCTCTCTCCTGTTTACTCAAAAGCTCATAATTACTTTTCTCTTGTGGATAAAAATAAGCAGAATGCCAGTAGTATGATTTTTAAAAAGAGAAGCTTCCCAGATGCCTACTCCTGACCGCATGGAATCATTCTGATGAGAGCATGCTTAATCAATCGACCCTGCATTGTCTGCAAGGCTTGGTTCAACTGGCTGACTCCATTATCCTGTAAACTGTGCAATTTTCTCTAAAGACATTTCACCAGCACAACTGCATAAAACAAATGTTGAATGGGAAAAAAATCAGTAGTAGATATTTTTTAAGACATCCTAACACCATTAAGGTTTTTTTCCGCTGCAACCTGCATCTGGTAGTAAAATCTTTCTTTTCCAGACATTGTTTTCTCCAAAGAATCATTCAAAAAGTTACTACCGTATGAAAACTCTTTAGCCATTTACATTTTGTGGGTTTTAACAAGCGTGTCTTCCAGGCTGACTCTGGCTGGTAGAGGTTTTCACCCATTCCTCAATGGGCACCAGAATTCTGATGAGTTCATGACATTCAGTTTAAGAAATTACCCGCGGCCAAAGATCTTGATTGGCAAGGTTAGTACATTTTGCCATATGTTATGTGCTATCTCTGTCCCCAAATATGCAACTCTTATGGTGTGACAAATTGTGGGACGACACACGTTGCAGCCCAGACAGTTAGACAAAACACTCCATCAGAACTGAAACCGCAGGCTAGGTCTCTGAATAAGAAATATGCAAAACCACACCTGCCGGCCAACATTGCTGCTTATTTCTTGCTCCTCTTTTTTTTCTTACCACAAAGAAAATTAAATGTAAAATCAATTTAATGTTGAGAAAAGGACCCAGGGTGAGCTTCCCACGTACACTTAATTGAGTCAGTGATATTTTGTGTGGCCTAGTTATAGCTTGAGTGGTGCAGCTGAGTGTAAGCTGTTTGTGATTTGGAGTTTAAATCCTATGTTTAATTATTGCCAGTATCACATAGGATACAGTGGCTGACAACGCAACAGAGTTAGACTTAACAGTTGTCTGTGGTTTGGGCCTGGTTATCTGTTTAAGATCAATATATTCTAACAAAAATTCTTGCCATGGTTAAATCCTCATGTGTTCTGCTATTAGGACTCAATATTTATGATACTTGAGGGCAGGAATTTCTTCAT
This sequence comes from Homo sapiens, assembly GCF_000001405.40. Taxonomy (NCBI): domain Eukaryota; kingdom Metazoa; phylum Chordata; class Mammalia; order Primates; family Hominidae; genus Homo; species Homo sapiens. The sequence goes on from NC_000002.12 coordinate 32,911,593, forward strand.
AATGGAAAGTGATATTATTGGGAGTGGTAGAGATTCATTTTTGAAATCCATTCTGACATGGAAACGTCTTAAGGTCATTGAATTTCAAAAACTTGTCTTTTAAGGGATAGTTTTCTTCTGATAATATAACGAGATGAGAATGTTGTGCTGTCTTGAGTAAAATGTGTGGTATTTGTGTCTGTTGGGTATTAATGTGTATTATGTGCATTGGAATCATGGGTGCCTTCTATATTTTAAGTAATGAGAAAAGGTCCACAATTTTATAAGCTGTGTGTATGTGTGTGTGTGTGTGTGTGTGTGTGTGTGTGATCTGTCTATCATCTATCTATCTATCTATCTATCTATCTATCTATCTATCTATCTATCATCTATCTATCTTTATTTATATATAGTAAAGTATATATACAACTTTGCCACTGGGAGCACTGTAAGTTTCTATAACCACTTGCAGTTTAAGAATTGTGCCAAATTGGCCAGGCATGGTGGCTCATGCCTGTAATCCCAGCACTTTCGGAGGCCGAGGCAGGCAGATCACCTGAGGTCAGGAGTTCAAGACCAGGCTGGTCAACATGTTATGGTGAGACCCCCGTCTCTACTACAAATACAAAAATCAGCTGGGCATGGTGGCACATGCCTATAATCCCAATTACTTGGGAGGCTGAGGCAGGATAATTTTTTTTTTTTTTTGAACGGAGTCTCACTCTGTCACCCAGGCTGGAGTGCAGTGGCGTGATCTCGGCTCACTGCAAGCTCCACCTCCCAGGTTCACACCATTCTCCTGCCTCAGCCTCCCAAGTAGCTAGGACTACAGGCACCCGCCACCACGCCTGGCTAATTTTTTGTATTTTTAGTAGAGACGGGGTTTCATTGTGTTAGCCAGGATGGTCTCGATCTCCTGACCTCGTGATCCACCCACCTCAGCCTTCCAAAGTACTGGGATTACAGGCGTGAGCCACTGTGCCTGGCCAGGAGAATTGTTTGAACGTGGGAGGCGGAGGTTGCAGTGAGCCGAGATCGTGCCACTGCACTCCAGCCTGGGCAACAGAGTGAGACTCTGTCTCAAAAAAAAAAAAAAAAAAAAAAAAAGAATTGTGTCAAATCAAAGGCCAGTTCTTTGGAGGTTTTGTAGATCTGCAGCACCAAGTAGGTGCTTGACACATATTTTCAGGAGTTCTTTTGTCATCACTGAATCAAATGCAACCTTAGTTTTTCCAGCCCATTCTGTCAGCCTAGTCCCAGGTTCCCTTTTGCAGTGTCCTCTCAGGTGTGGCCATTCAGTGCCTGTCATCCAAGTCCATTTTTGGATCCTTGAGTCATTTTTCTTCTAATCTCTCAAACTCCATATTCAACTCATCAGTAAATTCTTTCTCTGGTATCTCAAAAGCATTTTCAATTAACTCTGTAACTCAACTCTACGCCCTTAATTTTCAGTACAGATGCTCCTCGGTTTATGATGGTGTTTTCTCCTGATACACCCATCACAAATTGAAAATATCTTAAGTTGAAAATGCTTTCGATACCTCTAACCTACTGAACATCATAGGTTAGCTTAGCCCACCTTACATTAATCTATAGTTGGGCAAAGTCATCTAATACAAAGCCTATTTTATAATAAGGTGTCAAATATCTCATGTAATTTATTGAATACTGTACTGAAAGTGAAAAACAGAATGGTTGTATGGGTACTTGAAGTACGGTTTCTACTGAATATGTATTGCTTTTGCACCACCATAGAGTTGAAAAATTGCAAGTCGACCTATTGTAAGTTGGAGATTGCCTGCACTGCCATCTCTCATCTGGAAACTACAGTAGCCTCCAAAATATGCTTCCTGCTTCCCCTCTGGTCCCTCACTGATCCTTGATCACAGAGCAGCTGGAATGATCATCAAAACGCATCCATCAGATCATCTGACTTTTCTTCTCAAAACTTTGGATGGCTTCCCACATCTCTTACAAGACATCCTAAATTCCTTAGGATGGCAACATCTTATTCCCTGCTTCCTGTGTCTCTCTTCAACCTTATCTCATAATCTCACTTTCCCCCTTTCTTGCTCACCACATCTCTGATCCTGGTTCCTTTCGGTTCTGGGAACAAGTCAAACTCTTTCCAGTCTCAGGGCCTTTGCACCTGTTGATATCTCTGACCCAAAGTGTTACATAGCCCCACCCTTGTTGCATGTAGGTTTTGGCACAAATGTCACCTCCTCAGAGAGGTTTTTCCTCACCATTTTGTTTTATTTTATTTATATTTTTTGAGACAGAGTTTCACTCTTGTTGCCCAGGCTGGAGTGCAATGGTGCCATCTTGGCTCATTGCAATCTCTGCCACCCAGGTTCAAGCGATTCTCCTGCCTCAGCCTCCCGAGAAGCTGGGATTACAGACATGCACCACCACACCCAGCTAATGTTTGTATTTTTAGTAGAGATAGGGTTTCACCATGTTGGCCAGGCTGGTCTTGAACTCCGGACCTCAGGTGATCTGCCCACCTCGGCCTCCCAAAGTGCTGGGATTACAGGTGTGAGCCACCTCACCCAGTCATCCCTCGCCATTTTAAAAGTAGACACTTCCTGCTATTCTCTATTCATTCCCTATTCTTTCCTTCCTGGTTTCTGCTACCATCTGTGATTATGTTGCTTATTTACTTGTTTATTGTTTGTTTTCCCCCATAATACTGTAAATCTCATGAAAGTAGGAACCCTATCTATCATGCACCCTCAGTGCCTAGTGCAGTGTTTGGCACAAAGGAAGTGCTCAATAAATTTGTTGAATGAATGAACAAACAGAAAATCCTTTCAAATACTGAGGAAAAAAAATCTGCTTACTTAAAATTTCTACAGTTGGTTCTAATTCTGTTTCTACTATTGTTTCCAATTCTAAGGCAACATGCAATAATTCTGCAGCTTCATATACATGATCACATTTCAGATCTTTGATACCCTTTTATTTTTTGAGACAGAGTTTTGCTCTTGTTGCCCAGACTGGAGTGCGATGGTGTGATCTTGGCTCACCTCACTGCAACCTCCACCTCCCAGGTTCAAGCAATTCTCCTGCCTCAGCCTCCCAAGTAGCTGGGATTATAGGCACCCACCACCACGCCCAGCTAATTTTTTTGTAATTTTAGTAGAGATGGGGTTTCACCATGTTGGCCAGGCTGGTTTCGAACTCCTGACCTCAGGTGATCCACACGCCTCGGCCTCTCAATGTGCTGGGATTACAGGTGTGAGCCACCATGTGTGGCCAGATCTTTGATACCCTTCTTAGGCATCTTACATCTGTGCTATTTATACTGCTCAACCTTCCTTTGTATGGCATGGTTTCTGACTTTCTCATGGCAGTAATCACTCTCTGTTGGAAGACTCTAGTTTGACAACATCCTTCACTAACAACAACAACAACAACAAAAAAATAAAAATAGAAAAGCCAGCGTGGTGGCTCATGCCTGTAATCCCAGCACTTTGGGAGGCCGAGGTGGGCGGATCACGAGGTCAGGAGATTGAGACCATCCTGGCTAACACGGTGAAACCCCGTCTCTACTAAAAATACAAAAAAATTAGCCGGGTGTGGTGGTACGCGCCTGTAGTCCCAGCTATTCAGGAGGCTGAGGCAGGAGAATGGCATAAACCCGAGAGGCGGAGCTTGCAGTGAGCTGAGATAGCGCCACTACACTCCAACCTGGGTGACAGAGCGAGACTCCGTCTCACAAAAAAAAAAAAAAAAAAAAAAAAGTGTTCTGACCGCTGCAAGGTCTAATAGCACTCATTCTCCTTGATTAGAATCCCATCAGATTTATGGTCTGTAGTTTTCAGAATCTATTGTTTTTGGTTTTTTTTTTTCCGCAACGTATATTGCAAAACAGAACATTCCCCAAGGTTTCTGGCGTTTTCCCCACTCTCCATGATTTCTCAAACTTACCGCTAGTGGTTCTGTGATTCTATCTGCAAATTTCTTTTGTACTCTGGAATATAATTTGTTTGGACCCAGAAGATTTAAAATCTTGCCTAAATTTTATATATTTTATTTTAAAATATACCTAGATTTTTCCTTGTTCTCTAACTTACTGTAGGCTCCAGTTTTCCCTTTTCATCATCTACTTTGCTGCACAGTTAGAAATCAGAATCCATTCTCCTCGCTCCAGAAGATGGAATTTGAGTATTTGGTAGTTTGTACTTTTTGTCACCTGTTAACATTTCACCATCTTCTTGGACCTTCACTTCCTTCTTCATCTTCTCTTCCTTATCCTCTTCCTTCTTCTTCCCTTCTTTAATCTTTCATCTTTTGTTCTCTCCTCCTTCCCTCCCTCCCTCCTTCCTTCCCTCCCTCTCCTTCTTACCTTCCCTCCTTCCTTCTTTCCTTCTTCTCTCCTTTCTCCTTCTTTCCTTTCCTCCTTCCTCCCTCCCTTCCTCCTTCCCTCCTGCTCTACTTCCTTCCCTCTCTCTCTCTTTCCTTTCCTTCTTTCCCTCCTTCCTTCTTTCCTTCTTTCCTTCCTCCCTCCCTCCCTCCCCCTTCCCTCCTTCCTTCCTTCCCTCCCTTCCTTCCTTCCTTCTTTCCTTCCTCCCTCCCTCCCTCCCCCTTACCTCCCTGCCTTCCTTCCGGCGGGCGTACTTGCGGGCGGGCGGGGCTGCGGGGGGGCGTGGGTAGGGGGGGGGGGTGGGGGGGGGGCGGGGGGGGGGGGGGGGGGGGGGGGGGGGGGGGGGGGGGGGGGGGGGGGGGGGGGGGGGGGGGGGGGGGGGGGGGGGGGGGGAGGGAGGGGGGGGTGAGAGGGGGGGGGGGGGGGGGGGGGGGGGGGGGGGGGGGGGGGGGGGGGGGGGAGGGGGGGGGGGGGGGGGGGGGGGGGGGGGGGGGGGGGGGAGGGGGGGGGGGGGGGGGGGGGGGGGGGGGGGAGGGGGGGGGGGGAGGGGGGGGGGGGGGGGGGGGGGGGGGGGGGGGGGGGGGGGGGGGGGGGGGGGGGGGGGGGGGGGGGGGGGAGGGGGGGGGGGGGGGGGGGGGGGCGGGGGCGGGGGGGGGGAGGGGGGGGGGGGGGGGGGGGGGGGGGG